>NC_000007.14:83112839-83415869 GCF_000001405.40 Homo sapiens | reverse complement strand
TTAGATTATTGCTACTTCTTAGTTTCATGGTTAATTATATGTCACACAATGTTTAATGTCTGTTCACATGAAGACAAATTTAATGATAAAACACTGAAACTGGTAGCATACTCATAAAGCTGCTTGACCTAAAAAAAAATGGTGCTTGCAAATTAGAGAATTTTCTATGTAATTTCCTAATTTTAGATACAATTTTAATTCAGTTAACTTAAATTCAGTTGACTTAAGTTCATACGAAGAAGAGGTTAATAAAAAATTGAATAAATATTAAAGCTTATTTGATAGATGAAAGACAAGTTATAAAGCACATTTTTATTTCATTTATAATCTAACTTAGAAATGAAAACTTGATAGCTTGTAATAATTCTATGCGACAAAGGATTTAAGGAGTAAAAACAAGCTTCTAACTGAACTATGTCATATATATTCAGAAACTAATCAAAATGAAATCATATATTAAATAGGCTTGCTCTTCCAATGCGTCTTTGTAGTAACACAATTTATATTGGTAGCATATCAGCTCATATCTCAGGTGCCATATTTCTGCATGTTTGGCCAAGTTTTCCTCCAGTGTGATTACTCCTACTGTATTTGAAGTGGTTTTAAGTAACTGTCTGAGGAAGACAAGGCATTACAACTTGATTTTAAAAGCAGCTTGTTGAAACAATAAATTTTTCAGTATAATGAATTGCTGCATTGCGTATCCATGCCTTTCAAATCATCCAAATATACTTAGTAATTATCTTGCTACTAAATTATTAAGTTTGGTAAGTGGCCAAATAAAAATCCAGGAAACAGTGTTCTTTATGTCATGTGTCATTTTGGCCAAGAAGCAAATATTTTTGCTGACTCTTTTTATCAGTTATATTTGACATACTATTGCAATATTCTAATTAAGTTGATAATATCTTCAGTAACGTTACAGTCCCCCATAGTTTCTCCTTTTAATTCTATAGCCATTTTTATTTTTAAATTTTATTCTGACCCATAGTTGTATTACCAATTCCAGGTATAATTTAATCCTACCATTACTGAAATGCCTAAGGTATGATAAGACACATGTAGCTAGAGTTTGGGGAAAAAAACACCCTGATTTGTCATGTACCTTTTGAAACTTTGCTTTGAAAGGATTAACTTTGTTGTTGGAGTATTTTTAGGGATGCTTTTCAAAGTAAATGCACACTAAATTTTATTTTAACAAATAATCACTAATAAGATATTTTATAGTCCATGAATTTTATTTTAACAAATAATCACTAATAAGACATTTTATAGTCCATGAATTTTTCCTACACTTTTTTTCTATTACTTTTTTCAGCAAATAAAACTACAAAGTTTACAGCCACTGAAATCCTCTTCCTGACTGAGCTTTTATCCATAATAATAATACCTTTGTGAATATATATCCTTATTATGAATTTTGTAAATTAAAAGTCAATGTCAATTGAATGAATGGGAGTTAGAATGCATGCAGAGAAAATTTAAGTTATTGTTTCAAGTTGTTAATAATATTAAAACATTTTAAATAAATAATTGTTTATTTTTAATTAACTATATTTGCATTCAGGGAATAAACTGGCACAAAGTAAGGTCATTTATTAGAAAAATAAATGAAAAAATTATAAATGAAGTTAGAATATTTGTCTTTATAATGGTAAGTTCTACAAACATAATAAGCAAATGTGTTGCCTCGTGTTTTGAATTCACCTCAACTATATAGAAACATAGACTTCAGGTTATTCCCTTACCACTTTCCTGTCCCTAAAGAATATCTATAATTTCTTATCCAATGCTGCTGCTCGCTCTCTCTCTCACTTGGCAGAATGCCCATTATCCACATGCTTATTGTAGCTTCTGGCCATGACTGCTAGTCTCTGAGGAGCTATTTGAATACTTTACTTATGGTTCCGTCACAACGAAAAGAGGTAAAGGACTAAGAAAAAAGCCCCACTCTTCAATTCCCCACTTATATTCTCTCCTTTGAGAATCTGTTTTAACCCTCATGGTATCAATATCATTGGTTTGCCACCAAGAAAACTCAAGAGTACAGCCATGGGTGCTGGCACACACAAATAAACAGATTCAAAAGATATTTTTATTGTTCCTTCATGCCTCAAAACCACCTTCTTAACATTGAGAGCTAGTGCTAATCATCTTCCCAAACCAAAATAAACCGAAAGCCCAAACAACAGCTAAATGCCTAATAAAATCACACATTCAGAATCTCACATTCTTCCTGGTTTCTTTCAGCATCCTAAGCAGAATGTGAGTGTGAACCGGGATGTTGAAATATGTGAGTCATTTTCATCCATCCTCATCCTCCCAAGTGCATTTTGTTTCTCTTTGTAGCTATGCATGTCATAGTGATTCTGCAAAACAGTCCATCCACAATAGAATAATGTTCTAACAAAATTATAAAATTCAGTTATAAAGTGAGGCAGCTAAATCAGTCTTTAGCCATATGCTGTTCCATGAGGCAAATATGTTTCACATTATTTAGATTTGCATAACATACATTTATAACATAAACAGAAGCAATGCTTGAGTAAAACTTAACAAGATAAGAAGGTCATGAAACACTACTGTGAATTTTTCTTGTTATACAATTAAAATCCAACATGGTAAATAAAAACTCAGATAATATATAGTCCATGAACAAAACTCTTGATACGTTCCATAAAATATTAAGGCAATGCAATGGATTTAATTAAAACTTCAACTAGAGTTCACATTGTAAAAAAAAGGAGTTATATAGAAAAGTATTTTAGTTACACATTTTAGAATTAATATAAAGAATGTGTTTTTATCTATTTCAAAGAGTCAAATGATTGTCTTATTTTCTTTCACATAAGCAATTTAGTGTTGACACACTCTTTTAATCACAATATAATGTCCTTTGGGCTGAAATTCTTGGGGATCAATTTTTGAAAAAAATAGAGTTCCTGTTTTAATCTATTAAAATTAATAACGTAAGGCCCTCAAGGAACAAAAATTCAAATTTGTTATCCACGTAAATTCCCAATAGCCTTTTCTTTCGTTTGATATTTTCTCTCTGAAACAGTTTTTAAAAGTTAAGATCTTATCCTGTGTGTTTTTTTTTTTTTTTTTATCTTTTTTTAGGCAGGGTCTGGCTCGGCTGGAGTGCAGTAGCACAATCATAGTTCACTGCAGCCTCTACCTGCCTGGCTCAAGAGATTCTCCCACCTCAGCCTCCTGAGTAGCTGGGACCACAGGTGTAGGCCCCCATGCCCAGCTACTTTATTATTTATCATTATTATTATTATTTGTAGAGATGGGGGTCTCTTTATGTTGCCCAGGCTGATCTTGAACATCTGAACTCAAGCGATCCTCCGGCCTGGGCTGCACAAAGTGCTGGGATTACAGGCGAGAATCACTGCACCTGGCCCTGATTGTTGACACTTCACAGCCTTTCATAACCTTTTTTAAACCCTGAAAGGAACTTCTGATATATTTAATTATGAACTCATTAAGCCATTCTTTGATTCAACAGATATTTATTGAGCATTTTTTGTATTTCAGACATTAATGAGGCATCATTTCAAACACACAAGGAGTCAATAAAAATATAGTTGGATGAGCAGTAGGATAGAAATAGGTACCAGAGCTACAGTGGCACTAGGAACCACTACACTAAAAAAGTTTGGCCAGACAAGGTGTCATGGAAAAAGCGGACAATAACCAGGCAAAAGGAAGGTGAAGTGAGAAGAGAGGTGTGGAATTCTAGGCCAAAGAGCAGAGAGAACATAAAAGCTTGGCAGTTTCCGAGAATTACATGGCAGTCTCTTTGATTCTGCAGATAACTGAGACCTTGAGATTTTGAGCAGTTTGTGGTGGTCAAACAGCAGATTTTGAGCTAGAGACTTGGCTTGCCAGATTTCCACTGCAGAACTATTTCTACTATTCTTTCTTCTCTATATAAAGACTATTGTTGAGTGTGAGAAGTTGTTAAACTCGCCCATCTCCATAGACATAGAAAACTAAATCCTTAGATAGTTCTTCTGTTATAACTGAAGCCCTAAAAGGTATTTTAATCTTTTTATAAAATGTTTTCCTATTTTAATCCATGAAAATATGATTTATCTAGATGTTATTTTTGCATTCTGTAAAAGATCAATGTATTGATTCACAACTTTTCTGATACCAAATAGTTATAATAAATTTAATTAGAGACTATGTATTTCCTACAAATTGTATTAAAAATTTTAATAATGCCCAGTATTTTTGCTTACTTAATTACTATTAGGTATTATTTTACCTAAGGTTTTATTAATATTATTATTTATTTTTCACTAATGTGTTGTCTTTCTTTTCTAATTTTCTTAGGAAAGTATTTTGCTAAACATAATTATTATCAATTACTATGAATTTTTTTAAATTTGCATTGATATGAAGATATGAAAGGAATATCTCTCCCTTCTGAGGAAAACCTAACATTTCCAACAGAAACACATTTGTTTCTATTTACGTTGCTTACAGTTTTTAGCACCTATATAGTGTCTTTGAAATTCAAGTCATACAGTTCATATTGTGTTATGGGAATTGCTCACAATTTTCTCTGTCCTGAGTGCAAAATGGGAAACTGGGTAACATTGAGAATACATTATTTTTTCTCTTGTGCAGAGAATTGTCTCTGAATATGGTATTATCTAGCATCATAGGGCTGCCACCTAGTGGCTCCAAGGAATACTTGTTTGTTAATTTTATAGCATTGGTTAAAACGATAATTTTGAAACAATGTTCCAAATTAGGATAAATCCATTAAAATCGAAGTGTACTAATATAAATATTATTTTCCCATAAAAATATTTTCAATTATCAAAGTCTAAAATACTTTAAGATATAAAATCAAATATTAAAAATGTAAAGAATAGAAAACTCATGATTTTAAAGAAATCTAATCTTCATTCCCATTATACATTAAAGATTCAGACCAGCCCACAGTAGCGAAATAAATTATATTTTCAACCATTTAACAAGCTGGTCTTTATATTTGGTGTGGTAAACATAACTCAACTATAATAATTAAAAACAAAAATATTTCAGAGAAATCCTCACTCATGTGTTAATAGTCAATTTTTTTAAGTGTCAACTTGGTTGTTTATGCCATAGAGTTGATGATTCCAAAGTCCTTTTAATGACTCTCTTTTATCCATGTTCAAATAATGCAGACTGAATTCCAGGTAACAGGTCATATTCCTAACCACTGAATGCATTTATGCATTTGGTCTCAAAATACTACTTCTTCAAACATAGACATAAAATTTCTGGGAAAGACAGCACTAATTAAATGACTTTGATAAAAAATTATGTTAATCTTTTCCCTTTCTATTATCAAATAACATGATATGCTTAAGAGTTCTAACATAACTTTTCTCTACCAAATTATATATTGTTAAGTCCAGATTTAAATAGTCATTTAGTTTTTGTTATTTTCCTTACATCATACCTCTCACTTAGCGTAAGTTGAATATACTAGAAGAACTCAACAAATATATCTTTTTAAAAACTCTGTGATCTTGAAAATTTTCAAATACAAAGAAATTTGAAGTAAAACTAAAATTAACACCTGTATACCATTTACCTTGATTCACCAATTGTTAACACTCTGACACATTTACTTTTTCCTCTCTCATTTAGAATATATAATTTTAAAATGAATTCTTTTTTGGAAACCATAGATTGTATTTATTTGTATCTCATAGAGTGTTTTAGGCATCCATAGAGGATTTTGTGAACAGAGAAAAACTAATTAGAATTATTTATCTTTTTAAAATGAAAAAGACTATTATAGTAGTACTTCTAAAGCTTATTTTTTTAATCTTTGAGTTTAATTTATATCATATTATTCTAAATTTGGTATAACAAAAGCAATCATCTTTACCTTTAAAATATTAATAGTTAATGCAAGTTGAAAATAAACTTCCTTTTAATTTGTCTTATATATAATTTAATTGATCATTTTCTCAAATGTTAAATCATACAAAAATGCTTACACTTCTGAAGTTTTCCAAAGCTTTAAAGACCTTACCTTGGGAAAAAAGTCCTTCATAAATAATTAAACAATTTTTAAAGTTCTAATAAATAAAATTTATAAATAAAGTATTCAATATCTTTTAAATTCTGTTTATATATTTGGTCAAATTCTTATACCTGCAACTTTAATAATCCTAATTATAAAATTAATTACATAATTAGATATATTAAGTTGGAAATACAATTAATTTTGAAATCTCTTAACCTTTAAAGCATTTTAAATATGTGTATGCATACACATTGCAAACTTAACAAAAAAGCATTAGTACTATGTAATATAATAATCATATCTGTTTTAGAACTAGACCAATGTTATATGCCACTCATTAAGAAAACAATTTTACCACTTTGCTTTGAGGTTGCTGTTTCCAGCAATCTGCTGTTATCATTTGTTTCTTGGCCAGAGATTTTTGCTCCAGACAGGACAACTGAGCCGGGTATGGCCAGGACATCCTTCTGGTAAAACTGATGGGCACACTGATTACCTCTTGTGAGTTTTGGGAAAGGATTCTAAGTCCCTATGCTTCAGAGCTATTGATCTTCCTGGAGTTCAAGTTATACTCTCCCTTAAGTTATTTTAATGTCTTTTTTCTTACTCAAAAGACACATGGTTATTTCCTGAGACCCTGAATACATTATGTAATTTCTCAGTCTGATTTTAAGACTGTGACTGCCACCACATGTTGCAACTAACTTCCTTCAATCATTTTGTTGACTGTCTGATTAAATTTTGAGCGCTTTTTATATCCTTCCTATCTGACTGAGCCACAAATTTACAAATTGAATGACAACTGATTGGATTATATCATCTTTGTTAGACTTTGTTGTTCCCACACTAAAATCATATTCATGATAGCAGTATCTTGTTACAAGAAGGATTTGAATTAGCTGACTGACATATAAAACCTGTAATCATCACAATAACAATCATAATGATAAAGCCCTGATGATAGGGAGGTTAAAAGAAGTCTAGGAAAATAAATGAAGCCAAGGTATTTACCAAAAACTCATATAGGTCTTACTATTTACCAGCTGATCTTCCAAGTGCTTTGCTCTTAACTATCTTACTGAATGCAATTACTTTTCTAATTTCTAAATGAGGAAACTGAGGCACAGGGAACTTAGCAACTTGCCCAAGTTCACACCTAGTAAGTGACAGACTCTGGACTCAAACCCTGGGAGTCTTACTATACCATCCATGCTCCTAACAGCAATAGTATTAATGTCATAAAGTACATATTATAGATACACATATTAAATTTGGATGTGTTTAATTTGTTAACATATTAACAAATACTGACTTCTTTTTTACTGATGCTCCCGTGTAGGTAGTGAATTGTTTGCTGGACTCTACAGTGACTACTGGAGCAGAGACGCTGCGATCTTCCGCAGCATGGGGCGACTGGCCCATATCCGCACTGAGCATGACGATGAGCGTCTGTTGAAAGGTAAGGATGAGGAAAAGAGTATGTGAATTAGGATTGAAATCAACTCTAAAACTTACGGAAAATGTTGCCATTTTGATAATAATAAGAATATAAATACAATTCCTTTACAAATTTCAGAATGTTTTACTAGCAACATTCTTGAATTAAAATATTGTATATAATATATGTACATCATTTTCTATCAAAATTGATTGGCTTAATTATAAAATCAGTATACCTTCCGAGCAATGCTTAGAAATCAGTATTTGAATAAGGAAAACAAAACAAATGTATGAAAAGTGAAAAGTCCATCATCCAATAAGCTGTTTTGTCTACTTTTATCAATTGATATAATCTTTGATGAATTGATTGCCCTGCTTTGCTTGTTTTAATAGGATTGCATTAGACTTTAGAGACAAAACTCTAGGAAAGTCACTAGACATTCATTGATACAGAGTTCTTTGTAAGAAGTAAGTTTTATATTTTGGCACACTGGTATATGGAGGTGCTAGAATATTGTTTTATGGTGAGCATTTTAATTACTTTCCACATTTTTATTAAGCTTTAAAATGCATAGTCATTGATGATACCATTCATATATTTTACATACCATATCAAAGAACATTTATTCAAATCTCTTGGACTACAATCCCAAAAACGTAAAATAAATTTTCTACTTTGAAACTAAAATGATCTATGCGCTATACTGGTAGATCATTTATGAATTAAAAATAAATTATGATAGATTTATTTACTTTAATATGTTACTTATACTTACATTTAGTTTTTACCTACAATGGGAGGAAATTTGTAGAGATTTGTCTTCATTGTGCTCCCAATCTGCTCTTTCCTGAATGCATTTTAAGTTCGCATTGCATGTTGTTTGAAATTCTTCTTCTCTCCTGGATTCTTTTATTTTCCAATTAAATATTCTTGTAATATTTCTAAAAGGGCTGTTAATATGCAAATAAAGTGGAGATATCAACATAGTTTTTAATGTTTGGTAAAAAAATTCAAGAAAAATATTTCTTTATGAAATGGTGAAAGTTAAACTTAAGGATTCAGATGATATACAATTTATTGGAATAACTTGTTAGCATTTAGTTGTAATATCTATTTCACTTTTTCTCCTATTTTTTGCTCCTATAGAACCAAAATTTGTAGGTTCATACATGATTCCTGACAATGAAGACAGAGATGACAACAAAGTATATTTCTTTTTTACTGAGAAGGCACTGGAGGCAGAAAACAATGCTCACGCAATTTACACCAGGGTCGGGCGACTCTGTGTGGTGAGGCTTTCTCTCTCATTATGCTTGCTTATCTCACAATTTATGGTCAGGCCTTTATTAAGTTTATAGTAAGTTTCTACTTTTAAATATTTTCTAGTATTCTTTAGACTGCCTACAATTGATATTTACTATACCAACCTCTACATTTCATATCTAGTGAAAGGTGTATCTTAAAAGGACCTTGTATTTTGCATGATTTTCCCCATTTTTGAAGCTATACCAAGAAGAAATCGTCTATGATTAGACTGTCCTTCTTCCCATGCAGAAATTTGAACTTTATTTTTCTTAATGAATTTGATCAAAACCTTTTTTATTCCTTTAGTACACAGTACAAATAATATACATAGCTATGTTTGAACAATTCGGTTGGTTAAAATTATTTTTAAAAAAGCCATCTGTAACTTACTGAATATTTAGAGAGGTTGTTTGGGAACATTTAAAACCAATAGGAGTAGCAACATATATTGAGAGAATCAAATAAAATTACAAATGTAAAGTTACCTTGCCATTTAAGAAGATGTTCGAAAATAAATTTACATATAAATATGTGTGCATATATATATTGTGTGTGTGGTGTATGTATATATTTATATACATATATAGTATGGGTGTTGTGTGTGTATTTCAAACTTTCTTGAAAAGCTTTCTTCCTTTGTTAAAGGAAGAAAAGAAATGGGTGTTTCTATATTCCTGAGAGAGGCAAATTATTTATGAACAAAGTAATAATCATGATTACTGTATCTCTCCACTATTCTATTTAGGAGAGTTTGCAGTATTAATATTGTTTAATATCTGCAAAATATATTTACTGTATCAGGGTGAAAGTGCACTGACAAGGCCGAATGAAGAAACCTAAAAAAAAATAAAAATCCAAATTATGGGGAGTTGCACCTATGACATTACTTGAGAATTATGCCAAATTTTCCTAGTTAAATAAAAAAGTCATAACTCTTGGCAACTGCATGTTTAATAATATGAAATCTGTGGTTGGTCGAAATTCTTTAGGTAACTATTTACCTCCTTTTTGGTTTTCACAGAATGATGTAGGAGGGCAGAGAATACTGGTGAATAAGTGGAGCACTTTCCTAAAAGCGAGACTCGTTTGCTCAGTACCAGGAATGAATGGAATTGACACATATTTTGATGAATTAGGTAAATGTTTTTAGGTGAATTAAATTTGCTCTTTTATGTATATGCTTCTTTATAACTTTATCCCTAGGACACATAGAAACTTGCTTTCTGTGTATTTGACCTCTATCTAACATAGAGCAAGTTTCTGTTCTTTTCATTTTGGCCAGGCACGCATGCTGGGGGAAAAGGGATTGCAAGAACAAAAAGAGGCTCATCTTGTTAGCTTAGAGTCAGTGTCTGGTTCCTTCCTATTGTTCAGCTCAAGGCCACCCAGAATAGCTGAATGATTAGCTCTGTTATGACTTGGTCATGGTTGTATGATTGTATATGAAAATACACATCTCAAAATCTATAATGAGTTCTAAACAAATTTAGGTGAATAAATTTTCTTTGCATGCAAAGAGAGCTAAAAATACTAAGCGATGGAATGGCCTTTAATTTTTCAGAGGACGTTTTTTTGCTACCTACCAGAGATCATAAGAATCCAGTGATATTTGGACTCTTTAACACTACCAGGTGAGAAATTTATACAGTCAATAAAAACAATATAGAACAAGAGATGCCTCACCGGACTCTCCCTTCATGGTGTATATAAGTTGAAAGACTATTGACCCAGTTGCTCTTCTCATTTTCTACACTTTATAATCACCAATTGATCTTTATTTTCCAACGTTTGCAAATGTACTTTCATTTTCAGAAGCTCAATCTAAATCCAAATCTTGTTTCTGTTTATAGTACCCAGAATCCTCCTGTGCTCAGTATCCTGATATCTTCACTCTGTAATCTAGAACACAGTGATTTTTTTTTCACATACAGTTTGTAAGATATCAGTCCTTACAATGTGTTATTATATGTTGTAAAGTCTAGGATAATTCCTTTATTCATCACATAGAATTTTCCAAGCCAGGCTTTCAAGGTTCTATCTCAACTGTTACTCACTTGCCTTTGGACATTTTCCCTGTGAGTTCACTAATGGTCTGATTTTGACAAGATAATGCCTTGACAGATGCCAATCAGTGTCTACTTTGCTAGTTCCCATTACTATATTTTTATTTATTCACTTACCTTGCTTGAAAAAACTTTCTCCTCCAACACTGATTTAAATCAGTTCTCCAATACTTACCAATTGCCATATCCAAGAAAAATTTCTCGATTTCATAATCATAGAACACTCTTCTCACTCTTTCATTCTGATTTTCCTGCTCTTACGTTGATTCATAGTGAACACGTTCATCATTTGCTCTCTATCTTTTAAATTTGCTGCTCAAGTTTAAGATGTATAATCTATTGTTTTCCCCTTTATGTTTCTGTATTTTTTTAACCCATAGTAAAGTGCTGTAAAAATGGATAAAATATTATTTCATATATTTTGACACACAAATAAAAATATTAGAATCAGTATTTGTTAAAAGGTTATATAGACAATTTCCTGAGTATCTTTCCAGGTAAGGCATAGTGCAGGTAAAATGATTAGGATAAAAAATAAAGAAGAATATACCTCAATTCTCTTGACAGGGCTAGAATAATATTACTGAATTCCTCTTTTACATCATATAAGCCATAAACTGTCATATAATTATGTATACTGTGCTTACGTGGGGTCTTTCCACACAGCTTTAGTTTGTTATTTTTCAGTAGGTAGTTTCTAATGCTCACTTAGAGAAAATAATACATCTCTTTAGACAAGAATCCTGCTGTTGCAAAGAGACCTTTTCTTCAACAGAGAAACATGGAAACAATTTGTCTATCAATTATTCCTTGATGCAAAGAAAAATAGTTAATGTAGATTGGTAGTTATCACAGCGCATGGAGAGTACTTAACGTTTTAACTTCATCTCCTCCCTTATGCTGTGAATAATTCATATGTTGCATGATAATTCAGTGAATTTATATGATAAATTAAAGCTATGGAATAATCGGTTTAGTTTTTCTATGGGTTAATATGATCAGATTATAAGCTATTTTCCTAAATGATAGCGTAATGGATCTTTCTGAGAAATCAAGCATAAGACATTATTTTCTTCTATAATTTCTATTTTGACTGTTCAATTTATATAAATCTGAGAACAAAAGCTTCCCAGCTGTTACCTGACATAAGGATTGATATTTGTAGAATGGTGATCAAAGGCGTGCTACCACTTTAGTTAGGAGACTATCTCAAGTGTTCCCTGTATCCCAGGCATTTCCAATTGCTTCAAGGTGTGTTATAAAATGTGTAAATTGGGGGTGTAGGACAGTAACATAACTGCTGTTTTACAGGTGTCTCAGGATGTAGGAAACTTTATTTATATAGAACTTTGAATTTTGCAAAACACTTTCACAAACATTAATTATTTGGATTCTTACAATACAGAGATTCTGATAATGTTATAATTCATTCAGTTCATGCTAAATTAAGGAATATGGCAAGAATGTTTAAAAAAATCTTTAAAAATGTCCTTTTGTAGAATCTGATTACAAATATCTTCAATAAAACTTGCCACAGTTAGTCAACTACTGCCTTTATACTGTCAAGTAGAAATTTTAATCAAGAAAATTTTTTTGCTTTCCGCTAGTTCTGGAGATGAGGGATCTAAGTTTTATATGGTTAAAGTAATTTTAAAGACACTTTGTGGTGACTGGAGGAAGGAATATACAAGCATATTAAAGTTTACATGAACCCCCGCTAAAAAATGGAAAAAAGCCTAAATTTTCATAAGACTTTAAATTTTTCTTTAAGTCATATACATTAAGAAACTTAATACATCTTAATAGAATTTGTAGCAATATTAACAGCATAGTGAGTAAGAGGACACTGTCTACTTTGAAAATAGAACAACATAAAAGGAGATAATATCTAAATGAGTAATTCAACTTGGGAATAAGCCTTTGTTAATATGAAGGCCAGATCATCCTTAATAAAAAAATATAAAAACACAAGGTTTAAAAATAACTGAAGTAACATTATTTTTGTCATTGTAACAATGTCATCTTCAAGTGTATTAAGTAGGCAGTTAAGAAAATGGTAAGTTTCAGAGTTTCAAAATTGGAAATATTGCAATAATTAACATACCTAGAATATTCTTTGCTTAAAGAAATTGCAACCACTTTACCCAAAAGACTTGACTCTTATCTTTGTAGGCTGGGGTATTTGGCTAGATGACCTGCAGTTAGTTCCAGAAGAATAATTATCTTTTTTGTATTTTTCAGTAATATTTTTCGAGGGCATGCTATATGTGTCTATCACATGTCTAGCATTCGGGCAGCCTTCAACGGACCATATGCACATAAGGAAGGACCTGAATACCACTGGTCAGTCTATGAAGGAAAAGTCCCTTATCCAAGGCCTGGTTCTGTAAGTTTAGTTATATAACAAATAATTCTTATTTTTAAGTATACTTTTGGTAATATTTTGTTCACTGTTTCATAAGACTTTGCAGATAAACAATTAAGGAATACTATACCTAAAAGTATGCTTGGTGAAAAGTATATGTAGTAAAAAAATATTCCTTCAAATCTCAAGTTTTATCCTTGTTATTTAATAAAAAGAATATAATATATAATGGACACAGCAGTATTATAAAATATGTACTATTATTGATATTTTGGCTAAGTAACACCAATTGAAATTTTATTTTTAAAAGTACTGGTGAAAACAGAAACATTCAGTAACATGAACATCGTATTCCTCTCAGCCTCTTCAGAGGAGTTAGCACCACATATAATTTCCAAGCAGGACAATGTCACCAAATTTTTATGTTCTAACATTTAAATTAGCCTCTAATTTCCCTAGGCCAAACTGTCTCCTTACTTCTCATTGTAGGAAATCTATAAGAAGTTTTTTTCTCTATCTCCTCAGAATACTTAGCACCTCATTTAACATCCTTGCTGGCCCCTTAGGAAAGAAATGCCAATACAAAAGTATTGCTAGAGTACAAAGGTTCTACCACTTGTCTCTGAACTATACTATTAAGATTCTTCTTAGCTAGGCATGAAGTCTTTTGTGCTTTTAGCACACATGGCTAAAACTGATGATGATAGTGAGGGTGATGATGAGATGATGATTTTGTATCATTCATCCTGTGTGCAACTAGGTTGGAAAAACTTTGGATCATTGTATGTGCTATGTGAGCTATGGAGAGCAAAGATTTAACTTGTCACACAAGTCAACATCTATACTTTTACAAGCAGCTGGTGAAATCCCATCACTACACTGATTCCACGATTACTTGCAAGTCAAATAGAAACCATTTTTGTAGAGCAAAAACCCAAAGTGAAAACAAACCTTACTTCCATTAACAAGTGTTAAAGCTTTACCATTTCAATCACTCTCTCTCACTAGCTTAAAATTATTACTTCCAGTAAGACATAAAGTATATTTTATTTCACTCTATTGATTGAAATTACAATTTTAAATGGAGAAACCCTACTCCTGTGGCTTTGCTGGAAATGCTTCCTGAAACCACATGGTCTTAAAGGAGATTTGGAGGAAGCGACTGGTTATGGAACTGCTTCCAAGCTAGTCCAAAATGTTTCCAATTATATATCATGAAAGTACACTCAAGTGAAAAATCCATGCCAAATTAGGAAATATGGTCTGATTTTAAAAACCACACCATTATAAATGTCCTCTTTGTGGAATCTGATTACTAAACTACTGTATTTATACTCTAAAGTGGAAAATTTTTATCAAGGTAATCGTTGCAATTGTTGTAGTTCTGGAGGAAAATATGTAAAACGAGGGAGCAGTTACTAACAAGCATGAATCAACACATTTAAAGGTTTTCCAATGAGTAACTTAAGCTACTGTTGAGTATTTAATTTTTTAGTCAGTAGTTTAAAAATTGACATAACACATATTTCTTGTTTTCCCAGTTTATTTTGTCAAATCCATTAAAAATACAAATTCACGTAGATTACAGCAAACAGAGAGTGTCTTTTTGCCATTGATAATTAACAGTGATAACATCTGAATAGGTTTTTTTGTTGAACCACTAAAATTCTATAGTCAGTGAGCCAATCAGAACCATCACTGATCATATTATCATAGACTCAGTAGTAGTAAAGCTATTTTGTACAGTTGTGATCCTTAGTTAGAAGTTTCAACACAACGAAGAGATTTCTTCTCTTTGTGTGAACAATAGATTGTTTCCCTTCAAAATTTAACTTATATTACAAAAAACAAATTTCAAAAACAGAGAAAATAATTTGAATATGTATGATGTTAAACATTTTTACCATCCCTAAAGTCTTGATAGTAACTATACTTCACTTTTCCAGAATTTATCCAGTTTCTCTGTATATCTTGTGCTGCATGTTTGAAATAATTTAGCCTTTCCAATTTCTGAGGAAGATTCTATTTCTGTAACAAAAAATATATGGTTACTCACATGGACATAAAGAGGGGAATAACAGATGTAGGGGCCTGCTTGAAGTCAGAGGGTGGGAGGAGGGAGAGGATCAGAAAAAAGAACTATTGGGAACTAGGCTTAGTGCCTGGGTGACAAAATAATCTGTACAACAACATGAGTTTACCTATATAACAAACCTGGACATGTACCTCTGAACCTAAAATAAAAGTTAAAAAAAAAGAAAAATATATGATTACTAAATATTTCTAAATGCACAATTGACTAATTTGACAACTTCAATTTTTCTGATTCTTCTCATAATTGATTATAAATTTTCTCTTTGGGTGTAAAGCAAAAAGAATTATCTGATCCACTTGTTTTTCAGTGTGCCAGCAAAGTAAATGGAGGGAGATACGGAACCACCAAGGACTATCCTGATGATGCCATCCGATTTGCAAGAAGTCATCCACTAATGTACCAGGCCATAAAACCTGCCCATAAAAAACCAATATTGGTAAAAACAGATGGAAAATATAACCTGAAACAAATAGCAGTAGATCGAGTGGAAGCTGAGGATGGCCAATATGACGTCTTGTTTATTGGGACAGGTAAAGAGACGAGAAAGTACTCAGAGATATTTAAATTGACCCTTAAATTCAATAATTTTAATAATATTTCTAAAAGCACCTATCGACAAATCTGTCCATCTGTTAAACAATTTCACACTGCTAATCCAAAATGAGAAAGATTGAAATAGAGACCTCATGTGGCTGCAATAGTAAGAGTTTAGGCCAGTTGTCTGGGAATATTACCACTTTCATTGTCAGAAGTGTCATGGTTTGACCAACAAAATATGTGGTTTTTTTTCAGATGTGAGAAATATTGAAGCTGACAAAGAGAGGATTTGGGGCTTGCATAGCACAAAATTCCTTATACATGATCAATACTTCATGCATAAGAATAAATGAATAAGTAAAGAAATGAATAATAGACGTTAATGAACAAAGTTGGTTTCCAATAGAAGTTCTCATAGTGGAAGTAGAGTGTCATAGCAAGAATAGTTCTGTCAGTTTCCCAGCTCCATTACTGACTTTGCTCAGCGAGTCCTGGAGATTTTGTGAACAACTTGGAACTTGGGACAATACCTTCACCTAAATCTCTAAACACAGCAATTCTTATGAGTTCACGTCAAGATCAACCATTTGTACCAAGCAGGCCAAATGTTACCAATAATATCCTGCATTAATAAAACAAAGTATGATAAATATGCTACAAGTGATATTTTCAAATAAATTTGTAATTTCAATTAACCCATACATTAGATCTAACTTGTAGAAGAGGACTTGAGATCTTTCAGCCTCCAAAGTAGTATGTAGCAAATTCTTTGAAGTGTTTTAAAATCCTAGTCATTTTTAAAGTGTTTAAAATGATTCTTTCATTGTCTTTCTTCTTATTCAGCATAGTATAATTGCTACAGTAGTTGATCTTTAGAGAAGTGAGCATTCTAACATACATGACTTTAATTATAGATATATAATTCTCAAGAGATATTGGCATAAGCCCAGATCAGGAAACAGGATGTAATATTAATATTAATATTGGTGCTTGGGCTTCTCCAATAAACCCTTTGTTTTTATTTTTGTTTTGTTTTTTGTGGCTTTTTTTGTTTTGTTGGTTTGTTTGTTTTTTCCTGAGCTGGGGTCCTGCTCTGTTGCCCAGGCTGGAGTGCAATGGCACGATCTTGGCTCACTGCAAACTCTGCCTCCCGGGCTCAAGCGATTCTCCTGCTTCAGCCTCCCGAGTAGCTGGGATTACAGGCATGTGCCACCATGCCCGCCTAATTTTGTATTTTTAGTAGAGACAGGGGTTTCTCCATTTTGGTGAGGCTGGTCTCGAACTCCTGACCTCAGGTGATCCACCTGCCTCAGCCTCCCAAAGTGCTGGTATTACTGGCGTAAGCCACCATGCCCAGCCATCCTTTTGTTTTTTAAAACAAAGATTTAAAAAAGAAAACATCTATCTTATTCTTAGAAATTGATCTCTGGTACAGGCTGTATTTTATTCATTCATTTTAGGAAGTTAATGTTAATAATATGCTCAGCACTGTGGGTTCATGATTAACGGTGTCATCAGATTTCTTTAGCAAACTTGAAATTACTTGGCCATAAATTCACTCATAGTGACTTCCAACAAAATTTTTAAAAGTTGCATAATCAATACTAATATTTGATAAAAGTAATTAAAGTATTAGTTTGGTGCAAAAGTAATTGCGGTTTTTTTCTGTTACTTTAATGGCAAAAACTGCAATAAATTTGCACCAACCTAGTATGTGATTTTTAAATGCCCTGGAAAGCAGAAGCCACATATAACAGTCCAAGAATGTTTTTAGAAATACTTGCTTGTCATATTGATCAAAGTAATTCCAGAGAATTTCAGAAGTATCAAGCATATATTTGTGCTGCCATATACACCATGCTTAAGTCAAAGGTGTCATCATATTGAACCACAGATTTTCAGAAAAAAGAACATGTTTAATGAATGAAATGGGTACAACATTGAAAAATCCCACAAATAATATTTTGTCCAATATTTACTAGACACCGGCTTTAATACAATACATATATGGTCCTTATTAAAAAATCACTAATTGCGAATTAATCATTTGAGTCTTATCTTTGCTTTTTGCCTGATATAATTGTCAAGTATTTAATATGTGTGCTTTGTTTTCAAAATGATGATAATTTTTGTTTCCTTTGGGTAGTGTACAATACAGGTAACTGTTATTAGCTTAATTATAATCCAGTTTTATTATCTCATCCATAAGACTTGATAATATTTCAACAAACTGCTGAAATAGCATAGAAACTCTTAGAGAAGAAATTCAAAGTGTTCTTTTTTTTCTAAATTATTATGTCCAGCATTATACTAAATTATTTGTATAGGCAAATTAATGTGTTGTTAAAATTTTTATAGGAAGGAACAAGTTCAGAATATCAGAAATGATAAAAATTAGATGGAATTTTAAAATATGAGTATAAACTTTAAAAATAAATGATAATTATGGAAACTAAATGACTGGTACAAACACTTCTCTCAATGGTGTATACTTGGATTTTTTTCTTGCCAAAACTGTGTGTGCTTGCATGTATGTGTATGTTTTATATATATGATGAGTTTCACAGTGTGTTGCTTGGAATATTCCCTAAGACTAAAGGTATAGTTTCGTACCATAAAAGTAGCTTTTGGTAAAAAAATTTTCTTGCGTCATGCATCACAGAAAAAGTAGCTAGAATAATTTGGCATCTCTCTTATGTTTTATTAATTCCAAAAGACATTTTGATTTTTGAATCTATGATTGGATTTTTGGATCAAACTATTTGAAAAAATCATTATTTCCTCTCATTTTTGGCCAGGCATATAAAATTAATTTTGCTAATTAAAAATATGAGTTTATAAGTAATCATATTATTTTAAACTGACAGTGATTAACATGTTTCATGCCTCTGGATTTCAAATTTTATTTGAATTTATAGTCGCTACTTTTTTTTTTTTTTCTTAGATGAAGGCTTCTCTGTCCCCCAGGCTGTAGTGCAGTGTCATGATCTTGCCCACTGCAACCTCTGCTTCCCAGGTTCAAGCAATTCTCCTTCCTCAGCCTCCCAAGTAGCTGGGATTACAGGTGCCCACCACCATGCCTGGCTAATTTTTTTTGTATTTTTAGTAGAGACAGGGTTTTGCCTTCTTGGCCAGGCTAGTCTTGAACTCCTGACCTCAAGAGATACACCCATCTTGGCCTCCCAAAGTGATTACAGGCATGAGCTACTGCACCCAGCCAGCTACATGGTTTTTTTGAAAACCGTACTGTGACATAGATTCTAGTTTATTTCTTGTTTTGTTTTCTTACAGATAATGGAATTGTGCTGAAAGTAATCACAATTTACAACCAAGAAATGGAATCAATGGAAGAAGTAATTCTAGAAGAACTTCAGATATTCAAGGTATTTAAAGCAAAAAATACAGACCAAATTTATGCATTACAACTACAAGTGAGATGTAAATAGGAAAGATACTATGTCCATTTTTTTTTCCCTAACAGGTATGTTGTGGATTCAGAGCTAATATAAGTGAAGAATTATTTCAAATTCTAATGCATCTGTTTGATTGTTACAGACGTTTCAACTGAGAGATCAATATTTACCCAGCATGGAAAGAATTTCAGTGAATAAACTGTGACTATAAAGAAATAACATTTATACTACATATAATTTTCAGAGCCAGTATTACAGTCACATCTTGTAAATGTACTATCAATACTGACAAAAAAAAATACATTTTCATATTGTGAACATTGAGGCAAGATAAGCATACTGCTTTTTATTAAGTGCATTAATTATACAAATAATTTACTAAAAAAGAAAAACAATAGAAGATGATAATAAAAAAGACATGAAAAAACAATTACATATGCAGATACACTTAACATACATAGGTGCACGTGTGTATACATATATGTGTGTATACACATATATATGTGTGCATATATATAAATGCACATATGCACTTATACACACACACACACACACACACACACACATCAAGTCGTATCATTTGCAGCAGTTTTGGTCTTCAAAGTTGTTGTAACACTGAACTAGTGAATACTGACCACTGCTCCCATGGGAAATACAGGGTTATGTTCCAGCAAATTTCTATTTATAACGTAATTATCAACAGATCAATACGTAACCTTCTTTTATGTGTGTTTGTGTTTAAAGACACCTTATTTAATATATATTGCTGATGAACTAACATCGAACTCACAGCTGACAGCACGATAATCCATGCCTGAATGAAGCTTATCTAAGAGTTTTCAACGTTAAGGCACAGCACAGCTTTTTTGAATTTAGGAACATTAAACAGCACTTCAGCGCTATGCTTGGGGGCCATTTTAAAAACAAAACATCAACAAAAAGCACAGACATGTGAAAATCTTGGCACTACATAGTCCATGAAAAAGATATTTATTTACACTATGAAAGCTGAAACAAGAAGGCAGAGTGACACCTTGTTTCATCTCAGCTGGGAATGTGCATGTCCTGTGACTCAAGTTTTTTGCTACTCTGAGCATGCATGTGCCCATGAGTTAAAAACACAGAACATCTTGATATTGGGGTTGCAACTAATTTTAGCAAGTAGGCTAATTTGCAAATACAGAATCTGTGAATAACAAAGATTGGCTCTATATGTTTATGATGGGTAGATGTGAAAAGACTTTATAAATGAGAAGCAGTACATTTTGCCTTTGCTGTACTAGAACACAGATTCCCTAGAGCCACACTCAAAGCTAACCACTATCCTATATCAACCGGAGCAGCTATGCTTTTTTTTATTTTGCACTCTGGGACTCTACATAAGATTTCATTTCATGTTATAAACTGAAATATGTTTAATATTCACTCACCACAGTGTTTTGTCCATGAAAACTCTTAAGAAACATTGTTGCCTGAGTGAATGTATGAAGGCATAAAGATTCTGTAGTTTAAAGTAAAAATAAAAAATAAAAAAACACTGACATAGAGGATCAAATGTTCCCTCTTAACAAACAGCTTTTCAAAGGATAATCATCCCCAGAGTGGA
Source organism: Homo sapiens (assembly GCF_000001405.40). Lineage (NCBI taxonomy): Eukaryota > Metazoa > Chordata > Mammalia > Primates > Hominidae > Homo > Homo sapiens. The sequence goes on along the minus strand of NC_000007.14, from coordinate 83,395,001 downwards.
TTTCACCTGTCTTGTGGTTTTCCACTTGCACAGCTGATCTGAGTTTATTGTGCTCCTTAGGGATGCACTAGCCTTAACAATCCAAAAACAACATGTTGGTTCCCAAAGCTATGGTATAAATTGTCCTTCCTCTGGTGCAGTTCTAAGAAAATCAGGTTATTCATCTCATTCAAAGAATCCTGGGTTAATTATGATTCACCATGATCACTCCAACAGAAAAATATTTTGTTTAGGTTTGGGTTCAAATGATTAAAATCACCTGGTTTATTAGCAATAACACCTATTGAAAGACACAATGGTTTCATTTTAATGACTCAATTACTTTAATAGAACATTCTGACTTTATTATTTTATTTAAAGATACTTGAGTTTCCAAAGCGCAAGTAATATTCAAATACAAATTCAAAAATCATATTCCAAACAGTAAGCTGGTTAGATTTCCTGCTGCTCTTCTCATCTGCATATCTGCCCACCCTGTTAGAAACAAGTTTTTAAAGCTGCATTTTAATTGTGTTTGCATATTGGTTTACTAAAATGAAAGCTATACAGTACTTAACACATAACCACTTATATAAGTAATGTAATTTCAGGGGTTTACAACCATATTAAGGTAAATGTTTTTATACTGTTTTCTTAAAAATGAAAACTTTTTTAAAATTTCAGGATCCAGTTCCTATTATTTCTATGGAGATTTCTTCAAAGCGGGTAAGTTCTGTGTGTGTGTGTGTGTAGGTGTGTGTGTTCTATATGTGAGCTAAGGTAAGGTCAAAGGATATGAGAACATTAGTACATGTGCTTAAATATGAACTTATTACAGTTTTATTTTTCTTTTATTACTTTATTTTATTGTAGTAAGAACTTTTAACATGTGATCTACCCTGTTAACAAAATATTAAGCATACAATACATTTTTAATGGTTATAGGTACAGTGTTATACTGCAGACCTCTAAACCTTATTAATCTTGTTTGACTGAAACTTTATGTCCATTGATTGATTCTGACAAAAGTTTATCATGATTTACATTTGATACTTGTTTTCATTTTCTATCTCTATAGAAAGGAAGATGAGAGTAGTTTTACTTCTACAATCATGATAACACTTTATTCCCTGGTTATTTTTCACTAATGTTTTTCAAAAACAATGGTAACAATGATAATCCAATAGTGTGCAAGAACAATGATAATCCAATAGTGTGCAAGGAAACACACCTCCTTTCCACTTCACTGAAATCAGTTTGGTGTAAACTTCTTTAGAAACAGTTGTTGCATATATTGCCCCAAATTTATTTATAAATAATCCTTCATGTTCAGGCAAAAGGAAAGATATTATATTAAATGTTCAGCCACTTGTTCTGTAGATAGATAGATAGATATACACATCACTCTTCTAAATGTTATATGTCAATATTTAAAAGACTATTTGCTTTCCAAATCTCTTATTAGTTTTTGCTATAGATTTGTTTTCTGTTTTTGAGATAAAGTCTCACTGTGTCACCCAGGCTGGAGTTCAGTGGTGCAATTACAGCTCACTGCAGACTCAACCTCCCCAGGGTCAGGTCATCCTTCTGTGTCAGCCTCGTGAGTAGCTGAGACCACAGGCACATATTACCAGCTAATTTTTGTATTTTTTGTAGAGACAGGGTTTCGCCATGTTGCCCAGGCTGGTCTCAAACTCCTGGGCTCAAGCAATTTACCTGCCTTAGCCTCCCAAAGTGCTGGGATTACAGGCATAAGCCACTACAGGCATAAACCCAGCCGTTTCTATAGATCTTTAAAGGAAGATCCACAGTGTTGGGTAATGCAAGATAATGAACACAGCTTCTTGAGTTCTTGTCAAGTTCAGTGTAGCAATTTTGGTACTCCTGCATTTATGTCTATGAATGTTTCTCAAATATTAGAGAAATGAAAGTATAAATATTATCTATATTGAACAACTGCTATAATTTTTTTTTTTTTTTTTTGAGATGGAGTTTCTCTCTTGTCGCCCAGGTTCCACCTCCACATCCTAGGTTCAAGCAATTCTCCTGCCTTAACCTCCAGAGTAGCTGAGATTACAGGCATCCGCCACCATGCCTGGCTAATTTTTTGTATTTTTAGTAGAGATGGGGTTTTGCCATGTTGTGCAGGCTGGTCTCAAACTCCTGAAACTGCTAATTTAAGTGAATTAAATTTAAGTGAATTTTTTCTGAGGTGATTGTGTATAAATGTGAAAACTAGGTGTAATAGCTCAGTGAAAGTTTTGTCCATTTCTGCTAGTGACCTCTTTCTGATTTCTGTAGCAACAGCTGTATATTGGATCTGCTTCTGCTGTGGCTCAAGTCAGATTCCATCACTGTGACATGTATGGAAGTGCTTGTGCTGACTGCTGCCTGGCTCGAGACCCTTACTGTGCCTGGGATGGCATATCCTGCTCCCGGTATTACCCAACAGGCACACATGCAAAAAGGTGAGACGTGCTACCTGATTAACTATTTCCCTTGCTTAGGAAAACCCTAATGCTTTTTTTTTTTTTTTTTTAACTTGAAGTTTTCCAGAAAATACCTGTATTAATTATTGTGTACAGAGACTGGCACTGAACATGCTGTTGACCTTTTATTTTTTCACCCAGGTTTGAGTCAGTTTTTCCCTCTTTTGAAACTTTTGCTGCAAGACATGAAACGAGTTCAGATAAAGTTAAAATGTGGAAACGACAAGCCACCACACATGAGAGATTCAAAGACTTAAAAGGAAAATCAATAAAGAAATTCTAAAATACATCCTGCATTTGCCCCATGTCCTCTCTACCAGCTGGTCTTCATTTATTTCATTTTGAAAGTGAATATTTTAACTCCTAGGCAAATGCATGACCTGTATAATTAATGAAATGTGTGATTTAATTCAACACAAATGAAAGGTACTTAAAGACCTCCAAACTCCAATGCCTACAATTCTGTGAGGTCATTGCCATTTCCTACAGAAGGTAAATCCCAGGATTCTTTAAGCAGAGATCTTGAGGTGCAGTTAAGTATTTTGAAGAATAAGGATATCTCTTCACTCAAGCCATATGAAGTTGTGCATTCTTTGTGGAAATACCTCAGGAAAAAAAGTATTTTTATTTCTTACAGAATAAGCAGTTTCTTTCTTGCAATAAAATGACCAAAGACAAAATAAAGCAAACAATAGAAGTATAGACAATTTTCTTACTGAAAAACAGTTTGTATTAATTTCAATTATTTTTATTATTTAACTTTGGGTTACTTTTCTGTAAACATTTTTCAGAATATAATTTAACCCAATTTAGTGTAGTTCTTGTTTTATAGGTTCAAATATATAGCAGAATCTCATTAAAACTTCACTAATTCAAAACTTTTGTTAATTTTACTTGAGCAAAATTAACACTCCAGTGAGTATTTTAAAAAAATGATATAATAAGTGGATAGTAAAATTATGCTTCGAGAGGACATTTCTGAACTAAATTTACCAAATGTATTAAAGAATTGAGCAAATTAATTGATTTTGCAGACGTGCTTGTTGATGTTTGAAAACAATTCTTGAAGAATATAGTCACATAATTATTTGAAAATATTAATTATTAGTGTATTCACCTATTAAGCCAATTACTGTACTATGTGCCAGGGATATGAAGAAACAAGCATAACCTCTTGTCTAAAGGAAATTGGAACCTAAAGTGAAGAATGGAATTGTAGATAATGATAGTAGTAGCTTGCTGTTGAGCACTTACTATGAATGAGCTATTGGATTAAGAGCAATGCATATAATACTTTATTTAATTCTCAAAATAATCTCACTTTTGAGCTTAATCTTGAAGGTAGAGATATAAGAAAATTCCAGTCAAAGGGAATTAATTGTCTGCACAAAGAAATAGAATGCTTAAAAACAAGCATGCCGTACCATGGGTCAGGAGTGAAATAGAAGAATATGAGGGTAGAATGTGAATGTAACCACGAATAACAGCATTAATTATTTTATTGTCATAGCAACAATAAAACTGTTTACAAGCCTTGCACCAAATGCTTATGAATGACAGGGTTTTGTGTTAGGCATGCAGTAGTGATAATGAATTTTAATTGAGCAGTTTCCATAGTTAATTTTTCTATATGGTGCATCTTTTAGCAGTGTCCAGCCTTAAGCTTGTTAATACAGTAGATGTGGTGGACAAAAAGAGTTACTTAGAAAAAGTCAAGTGAATGAGAAAAATAGTAGACAGGAAGGCATGAAATGCTGGAATCAGAAGCCGTGCTCGTAAATGAATTAGTTCAGTTCAGTGACATGTAATGGAGATCTTTCAGTGCTGTCAAATTCTTTTGAACCATCACTACCCCTGGAAGATAACTTTTTGGATAAGTTCCAACACATGAAGGTAAAATAGTTTGCTTTTATAGCAGATCATTTTTGCTTCAGACCTGAATAGAAGCAGAAATTGAAAACAGGTCATTAAAATAAATACTTTTCTGCTCAAAGAGTGAAAATGAGTCAACAGGGGAAAAACAGTAATTCACAATCCAAACCACTTGTTTAAAATGATCTTCCAAAATACACTATGGTTTATAATGCTAGAATCTTTTTCTTCCCCTTGCTCTTCTATTTTGTCTATTTCCAGTGTTCTCTTTAAATATGTCTAAAAGACTAGAGATATAAGAATAATACGCAATTTTGAGAATGAAAGCAAATTTGTTCAACTTTCTGAAACTTCTCCATATATATATAGTGTAAATATGTAATATACACATATATACGCGCATATATACGCGCATATATACGCGCATATATACGCGCATATATACGCGCATATATGTGCACACGTATACGCGCATATATGTGCACACGTATACGCGCATATATGTGCACACGTATACGCGCATATATGTGCACACGTATACGCGCATATATGTGCACACGTATACGCGCATATATGTGCACACGTATACGCGCATATATGTGCACACGTATACGCGCATATATGTGTATACGTATACACATATACGCGTATATATGTGTATACGTATACACATATACGCGTATATATGTGTATACGTATACACTATACACATATACGTGTATATATGTATACATGTAATATATACGTGTATATATGTATACATGTAATATATACGTGTATATATGTATACATGTAATATATACGTGTATATATGTATACATGTAATATATACGTGTATATATGTATACATGTAATATATACGTGTATATATGTATACATGTAATATATACGTGTATATATGTATACATGTAATATATACGTGTATATATGTATACATGTAATATATACGTGTATATATGTGTGTATGTATACATGTAATATATACGTGTATATGTGTGTATGTATACATGTAATATATACGTGTATGTGTGTGTATGTATACATGTAATATATACGTGTATATATGTGTGTATGTATATATGTATACTGAAATAAAGGACAACTATACGGGGATAGTATAAAATGAACTGAAACCTTGCTGGAGAATGTGATGTCTTTCTTTTTAAATGTATGTTTCCAATAACTTTCAGCGATATTTTTGCACTCAGTTCTTGACATTGCTTATCTAGAATTATTTGATTGTAGTTTCCTTATCCTCATCTCACTTGTATAATAATCTTTATACAACACCATCTCGGCCAAGTGGAAGCCATTTCTCATTTTGTTGATTTTATTCCTATCCATTATTCATTATTGCTCATCAGCCCTTAGGTTCTCAATATAGAAGCAATACTCAACAAAGTGAGGGATTAACAACAGCATTTTAATTCTCATCTTGATCTGCTATTGGTTGTATAATAATTGTACATACTAGTATAAAACAATATAGAATCATACAACTTTCTACTTTTGCTTGTTATTTTTTCATAAGCTCTATTTTCAATCTAGTTCAGTAGAATGATACATGTGGCAGATCTAATATTAACTTTGTAAAATCTCAGGTTTTTAGGTAAGATTTTCTAATCAGCAATCTCTACATTAAAAAAAAACTAAAACTAAAACATACTTTTGTACACAGGTCATAATCCCAAAAATTGATTGGAGATGTTGATCTGCCCTAGTTTTTAATATCTATTAATATGTTAAATAAGATCTGAACTCCTGTGTGAGAAAGCACTTGATCTCTTGAAATAGCATTCTATTATTGTTATTTAGAGACAGTAAGGACACCCTAGAATGAAAAAAAAAAAAAAGACTGAAATAGATTTTAGGTGTCATTTTGCCACCTCTATTTTACAAGGGAGGACACAAAGAGCCAGGAAAGGGAAGAAATATGCATAAGATCATACAGAACATTAGTGGTGGTATTGGGAATTGAATCTGGTTCACTTTTCCAAATTTCATCATTGCATATGGTTAAAGCATCTCATTGTCACTTTGGGAGCTATGCTATCACCCTCTAGGGTAAAACTTCTGCTTTGCCTTCTGTTTTTCCCTCAGTCTTGAAGAAATGCCATGAATTAGAGAAGCAAGTGGTATTTTCTACCTTTATGTAATACTTCTATTTTAATCTCTAAGCTAAATTAAGTATGCCAGAGTTCTTGATTTTAGAATTTCAATACTATTAATACTAATGATAATTCTCATTGTTTAATTCCTCAGAAAAAAGGCTTACATATTAAATCATTTTATATATAATGTTATATTATATATTTAAAGATATATATATATTTTTTTTTATTTTTTTATTTTTTGAGATGGGGTATCATTTCATTGCCAGGCTGGAGTGCAGTGGTGCAATCTTGGCTCACTGGAACCTTCACCTCCCGGTTTCAGGCGATTCTCCTGTCTCAGTCTCCTGAGTAGCTGGGACTACAGGCGCACACCACCACGCCCGACTAATTTTTGTATTTTTAGTAGACACGGGGTTTCACCATGTTGGTCAGGCTGGTCTCGAACTCCTGAGCTCATGATCCACCCGTCTTGGCCTCCCAAAGTGCTAGGATTACAGGCGTGAGCCACCATGCCCGGCTAATGTTTTTATATATATTCAAAACATTATATTATATACATAATATATATATTCTTGAATTACATATACATATAATATTTTATATATTCGAAACATATGTATATTACATATATTCTGGAATTTTATATATATAATGTTATATATATATAAACATATATATAATGTTATATATATATAAACATATATATAACGTTATATATATATAAACATATATATTCTGGAATTTTTCCGCAGATACAGAATATTGTATTTTTTTCAGTTATATATCTAAACAATCTATGAAATTAAAACAATACTAGAAATGACTCTAATTATACGAGGCAGATTGAGGGGGAAAATACTAATATTTCTTGAGTCCCACTAGATGCACAAAATTCTGCTAAACATGAAAAACACACTATCACATTGAATAGAGGCAATGTTATATCTGAATAAAAGTAAGCTGACTACAGTATATTATTAGTTTATGTCTTATTGTTAGAAATTCTATTTGTACTAATTGATTATAATGGCTATAGAACAAACTATTTGGATTTTAACACCTTTTTCATTTGCACTTTATTATATATGGGAGTTTTATACTCAAAATAACTGTTTTGTACTCAATAAATACTTTACTTCAAATCCCATTGTCTTTATCTGCTCAAATACCTTACCATTCAAGACATTCTCAAACTAGAAGATTTCTTGTTGAACTAAATTTTTAACAAAAAGTAAAGAGAAATACATTCCATTGTTGTTTGAGTTTCCAGAATTCAACATTATGTAAATAAAGAACAGGGTAACATAGATCTTAGCTACTGAAGAACATATAATGGAAATATGAAAAACTATGAAACTTGGATTTTATTCTTTTTTCATATGAATGATCATTTTTTTCAGTAGCAGAATACTACTTGTATATGAAATGCAATTGGCTGCATTTTAAAGTCTGGAAAATTGAAAAAATGAACATCTAAATGCATTTACTTTCTTTCAGGCGTTTCCGGAGACAAGATGTTCGACATGGAAATGCAGCTCAGCAGTGCTTTGGACAACAGTTTGTTGGTAATCCATAGAAAATCAGTTGTTCTGGGTTACTCAGAGAATACATTGAACATAAACTACAAACTTCTTAAAAAGAGTCCTTTTTTTCTTTGTGATTCATGTATACTAGAACAATGTAATAAGTATTCTTTTTCTCTGACATGTAGTTAAAATTTTGAAAATTTGACTAATTTTTACCTGATTAGGAAAATAAGTTTTATGTGCTACCACCAAGCTTTATTATTAAACTAATTATTAAAACAAAGAAACCCTAGAACAAGAATGCTGCATACTTTAGGTGGTTGATGCCACAGTGACTCTTATGACTTACCTCTTTATCTCATACTGGGGACTATCTTCACCATGTTACGTACCTTCTGGTGATTTTATCAACTGGTATTACTTCTATCAAGTCATCTCCTAAGCTTTGGGATAGATAAAGTGAAAAAGCTTTTACTCTTTTATCTAAGTTGACCAAGCTTAGGGCTGGGGTTGGTGGTTCAATAAAGGTGATAGGGTGGTGGTAACTGATGGGTTAGGAATGGAGGAAATCTCATCTTTAGGCAAAAGTAAGGAATATAAGAAAGAACTTCTCTGTTAACTCCTGACTCTTTCTATTATGGTAGTGACTGTTGAATAGGCTGTATTTAGTGTCACTGAGCTCACTAGGAAGTAATAATAAGAAGGGACACCATAAATGAGAAACCAGCGGTGGCTATACGCAGAGCCAGAGACTGTGCTCCAGCATCAATTTGTTGGACCCCAGACTGACTCAGGATTCAGTGGAGGACTCAAGCCTCTGGGAATACTAGCAAGAGAAAAGTAGGACCTTCATCTTAGGGAAGTTTAGGGGTCAGTTCTGAAGGTGAGTAGGATTCAGGCATAGGAAAAATAAATCCAGAGGTCCAGTTATTGAATTTGTCTTAGTTTAAAATAAAGAGAGAGTAATCCTGCTTCCTTTTATTCCCTACTGCAGCTAAGTGTACTTGCCTGTGTGCAAATTTGAGTTCAAGTCCAGTAAGAGCCTTTCTGGTCCAAGACACAGATTATAATCAAGCTTTATTTCACAAAGTCCCTGGTTCAGTCTCATATTCTCTTCTCACTACAGCAGCCCAACACCCAGATAAATGCAATCCCTTGTCAAGATATAATCCACATTTGTGTTTATGTAGTGGCATTTTGCCTGCATTTCTGGTGTCTGCTTTTGTTTGTATCCACGAATTTTGTCCTGTGCTTTGGTGTTCCCTTTCTCTTCCCTCAATAGAGGTTGCAATAGACTTTCCATGAGTTTAACACTGATGCTTCTTACTGCCTTGACTATCCTGTCCCATCCTTTGGAACCAGACTCTCAGTTACCTACTTCTGTCCCACCCCATAGCCTGCTTGCTTGTTTCATGCCTAAATTTTGGTATGCCACTCTTTCTAAATAATTCCTTTAAATTACCTTTTGCAGAAATAAGCAATAAGTAATGAGTTAATCATGTTACTGCAGGGATCTAAATAATGTTTGAAAAATTTATTTACCTATAAAATCTAAGTCTCAAAGATGGCATTAATGTTCCTGTTGTAGGGGATGCTTTGGATAAGACTGAAGAACATCTGGCTTATGGCATAGAGAACAACAGTACTTTGCTGGAATGTACCCCACGATCTTTACAAGCGAAAGTTATCTGGTTTGTACAGAAAGGACGTGAGACAAGAAAAGAGGAGGTAATTCATAGCTGCATATTCAAAACATAGTATTTTGCATATAGTGTGTGATCAGTAAATAGATGATTTATTTGGATGCTGAAAAATGAAGCTAGCTGTTGTACTATGCATGCCTTATTTAATAAGTCAGTTTTATTTGTTATGTGTGATTTATATACACACAATAATTTAAATATATATACATATAGATTTTATATACATATACTATATAAATATATATATGCTATACACATACATAGAAATCATTAATTTGGATCTTGGAAGTAAGAATTTTTTAAAGAGGTACTTATAACTCATGATTTTATGGTCATGTTGTCAAAATGATAGTCTTAAATCATGACTCCCAAGGCAGTGTTGTAGAGAAATAGCAAAACTTAATTATCATTAACACATATGTCTTAGACATATGAATAATAACAGAATTAAAATAACAACACAGCTACAACATTAAGCTCATTGTAGAAGAAAATTTTTCAATTATATATGAGACATTGACACAAGGGTTCTTGACCGCTGGGAACAAAGGAAAGACCCCGCTCTTTCATCATCTAAATGATGGGAGAGGAATGACTTGGATGCTTGTAGAGATGGAAGAATAGGCAGCTTTAAAGCACATGTGTAGAATAGGAGGCAGTTACTGGATAAAAGAATGTGAGTCAAGGGCTGTCTATAGAAAGAGTCCAGGGCATAAAGAGGTCCAGGGCATAAAGCAGTTAGGTAAGGCAGATCATGGTGATGTAGGCTTTGAACTCAGTTTCACAAAAGTGGAATTACAAAGATAGCAAGTAGAAAAAAAAATGGATATTTTAGAAGGAGAAATAATATTGAATATTAAATGATGAATATTGAAAAAATTATCCTTGGTAAAGAAAAGGTTGCAAGTTGAATAATGAAAATAAGCTCTAGAGACCTGTCTCTATTACAGAGAAGAGGTAATAGGTGCATTTTGGATAGAGAGTGAATCAATGGAAGGCTTCACCTCGTTTTGGCACTGCAGACTAAACATTTGTCATTGGAATACAAAATTACTGATTCCAAATGCGGAACACTTTGAACTTTTTATTCCTTTTTTCCTAGCCTATCGTGAAATTTAAAACCTAACATGTTTTTAGATCAAAATCATACAGTACATTCTGGGAGATAATTAAATTTGTAAATCCTTGATTCTTTGGACAGGTTTTAGAAAGAAAGTCACCTCAACCTAACAAAGGCTATTAGAAATAATATAGAAATGCAATCAGGAAAGGAAAATTCTGTTCATGATGTCATAAGAATAAACACATGTCCAAAAATGTACAGCATATTGCACTGAGTTAAGTTGTTGATTTAGTATTAAAGTATTTTCCACTTCACAAATCTGAGGTGAAATGGCTTTTTAAATTCCTTGTAATTCCCTTGGCAGAAAAGGACCTGATAATCTTCCATAGTTCCTCCAAGCTGAATGGCTTCAGAAGACAGTGAAGTAATTCTTTTATCAGTGGTTTTCCTCACTCAGTATGTTCTGTTTCTAATTTGGAACTCACCATAATCTGCCTCATTTGGAAATCTTTACCAAATCATTTGACATGCTGAATCCATCAATGTTCAATTATAAGGTTCTTTCTCATATTGTTGATATAATCTACTTCTCCATTCCTATAATTTTTAGTACCTATTTTCAACTACATTCAAATTTCCCCAACTAATGTATTTGCTGATATTTGGACTTTGAATTTACTCTTTGCATCAAAAGTTATGTCATAATCAGCTAATAATAATACTTGGCTTTTAAGGACCTAGCTATATACGGATTGATTTATTCACAATATAAAACAAAACACAAAATTCTGACTTTATTAAAGGCTGAATATACATGATGTATACACAAAGCAGAATAACTTTGCATGTGAGTTCTTAATTTTCTTTAATAACAATTTTTCCACTATTGCCATTTATATGTCTCTTTTTTGTGAAACATAATTACTTTCTTATCAAATCTTTATTTTGATAAGAAATCACTTTCTTATCAAATCTTTATTTTGATAAGAAATCACTTTCTTATCAAATCTTTATTTTGATAAGAAATCACTTTCTTATCAAATCTAGACCATTTTGAAGGATATTTATTTTCACCTAGTTAATTCTTACCTCCTGGGTAAGTGCTTTATAGAGTACCCCTGACGATGCTCATCAGGGTTCATCTCTGATGCTACAAACAAAGAGAAGTCATTAATTTATCAGACCACAGAGTATATACATCTTCCTTTTATTTAACTGAAATTTTTGATTCTGTAATGTCTGCCTGTTCAGATTCAAACTCAGCCCTCTGGAGTTATCCAGAAGCAACATATTCATGTGGATAAAGTTTTTGCCCAAATTAATCTTTAGAAACTGAATTAATCTTTAGAAACATACCTGAATTGTTAGAAAGCACTTAGAAACTCAATTGTCTACTTTCTAAACTCTAGATTATAGTGGTTCTCTCAAATATGCAGTTTATAGACTCCTGCTTTCTTAAACAAAGCAAATGGAACATAATCTCTATATATTTTATTTATAAGTATTTATTGAAAGCCAACTTTGCTAGATACTTCATGTGGAGCATTTTCCCTTGACTTGTAGACCTTATTAATTATAATTAAGTAATAATAAGTTATTAAGAATTATAAATGTAAATTAAATATATAAGATACTATGTATAGCATCAATTATTATGATATCCTGAGAGAAAAGAGACTCATAAACAGAATTGATAACTGAGGCTATTATTTATATGTACCTATTGCAAACAGGAACTGAGTAGGTACCAGGTTATTCCTAGATCTCACAACTGCATGTTAGACATAATTTTCTTCATCTTACACATGCAGAAGCTAAAACTCAGAGAGTTATAGCTCATACACAAAGTTAGGGACAGACCTGACGTTTGAACTCAGGTATTCCTAACTCGAAAGCTGTGCTGTTTCACATTCAGTGCTACAGTACCAAGGACTGTTCTATGTGTATTTTATGGAATATACCATTTTATTATAAAGAATTGTTTTATAGATGAGGTAACTGAGGCACAGGATATTTAATAACTCCCCTGGTTACTTGCAGCCAGTAAAGTAGGTTCAAATCCAGGTGTCTATGTAATTTCTACTAAAACACAAAATCTTCTGAAATCAAAATTCTAAATACAGCTTCAGATGCTTTGGGACATAACACAAATGGAAAACTGCTTATAGCAGAAGTTCTGGGATTCAATTTCTAAAAAATGCTCCTGATGTCAGATTGATCCTTATATAGATTTTTCTTTGTCAGAGTTGAGTGGAGCATGCTGCTGCAGGCTTAATGACAAAGGCATTACTCCTCATTGTCAGATGCCAGAGAACCTGCCCATAATTTGAACCATCGCCACTCTAAGCACTGATGCCAGGAACCATTGTTACACAACATACACAATATAGACATCAATGTATTTCCATTCTCAAATTTCCTTTTCAAGCTTCTACTATATGCCTATTGGTAGTACAAGATGACTTCTATATCAAGGAAAATGTGAGCCACCATTTGAGCCTATGTAGATATAAAATACAGAGTACTCCATCTAATTTTATTGGGTGTTTTTTCACTAAAAGAAATGTTTTATTCATTTGTTTGAATTTATTTATTAAGCACTTACTATGTCCTGCCTTATAGAACTTATATTCTGAAGAATGTGGAAAGAAAATAATAACAATAATGACTAAGAATGATATTAAATATATCAGATAATGATAAAGAAAAAAATGCAAGGGAGATTAAATTATAGGGAGAGGTTAGAATTTTAAAAGGGTGGCCATAGAAGGCCTCACTAAGAAGGTCACCATAAAAGTGACATTTGGAAAAAAAATCTGAAAAAAGTGAGGGCATAGGTCATGTAACAGTATGAGATAAAAACTTTCTGGACAATGGGAACAGCAGATGCTAAGACTCTTGAGATAGGAGCATATGTGATATACTCAAAGAACAGCTGAGTGAAGAGCAGTGTGACTGGAGGTTAGTGAGCAGTAGGGAGACTAATAGACCATGAACCAGAGAGGTGAGGTCAAGGAAAAGCTCACGCAGGGACCTATAGCCATTTCATAGGGTTTTGGTGTTCTGAATTAAAAAGGAAACCATTGTGTATTTTCAGCAGAGCTGTGACATCATTAACATTTGTATTTAAAAAGATCACTTTGGTTATTGTATTAAGATTATAGTATGTTGGGATGGGGATAAAGGTGGAAGTAGGTAGTCATTGAGGTGATAGGAACACACAGTATTAAGTATAAATCTTCATGCTTAAAAACAACTCTTAATGTGTTCATGCCTTCAAGACCAGATGATTTGCAAGTGATTGCCTCATACACATTGTAGCAATGTGCTTTGCTATATTTTTCACTATTAAGAAATGTGAAGGCTGTTTAGCATCTCAGATGGAATACTATTTTGGACCTTCTGTTCTCTTCTCTCTGTTCAACTGTCTGCAATTGGTGTTTTGAACTCAGTAAATATCTACTCGGAGCCTACTTTAATAGGCCATGAATAAATACATCTTAGCTCTTGTGAAGTTTACAGCCTTGTAATAAAGACAAGAGTGCAAACAGATAATTATATGTGTTCCTTAAAGATTCTGTTGAAACCAAGGAAAAAGAAAATTGTCTCAACCAAGAGATTGGGTAGGGTGGTGGCATAATAACCAACTGGGAAACGATTCATGGCAGAGATGACATTTGAGCCACATCTTAAAGGATGAGTAGAGGGTAATTAGTAGAGAGAATAATGTTAGCTTATGTTACAAGATGAAAAACAATATGGTACATGTAAATCATGGCTAGAAATGAGGATGCAAAAATGAGTAGACAGATCAAGGAATCCATTTCAGTTTGTCTCTAAGCCAATGAGAACAACTTAGCTTGACTGTGTACACAAATTATTCTAGAAACTGGCACACAGACTTAGGAGATAAACAGAATGTCAAGAACATTTAGGATGATATTTCAATAGTTATTGAAAAAATTTTGTGCCACATGAACTAAACAGTATTAGTAGAAAGGGAGAAGACAGGTTTCAATTTTTATGAGATAATATTAAGTGGATTTCATATTTGAGAAAAAAGAGAAGCAATCACAAAATATTCACATGTTTATTGTTTGAGTGTCTGTGTGGCTAATGGCACAGTAACATGATTCCAATAATACAGGAGAAGAAGCACGTTTGGGAGAAAGTTGTTGAGTTAACTTTTGGCTGTGTTGAATTGGAAGCTCTTATAAATCATTCAGGTGGAGCTGTCCTGCTGTGTATCAGTGTTCAGGAATATAAAACCCAATGGAAGATTTGGCATGGCAAGAGATGTTGGAGAGACATCAGAAAAAAATGTAGTATCAATTTCAGGGGAATTAATAAAAGTAAGAAGAATATAGCACCAATCGGTACTTAAATATGACTTACTGTGTACCAAGCATGATTAATATTTTTAATCCTTGCAACAGTCCCATGAAGGAGATATTTTTATTGTTTCTACTTTACAGATTTAAAAAATTGAAGCACAGAGAGACTGAGTTACTTGCATAAGATTACACAGCTTGTGAAGTCAGTTTGCATTTGAGCCCAGACAGTCTGGTTTTAATTTGGGGCCCTTAGACACAATGCAGTGATGCCTCCTCTAGTATAGCTTACCTTAGAGAGTGATGAAATAAAAAGCAAAGTGAACTAACTCCAAAAGCAAGGGGAAAACACATATTTAAGGAAAAGTTAGAAGACAAACTAAAAAAGAGAAAGTAAAAGTAGAAAATAAGTTGTAATTATAGTTAGCATTCATTTAGTGCTTACTATATGCCATGCTATTCTAAGTGCTTTATATGTAGTAACTTATTTAGAACTAACAAAACTTCTCTGAGGTAGCTAGTAGTTTTTAAATTACTTTTACAAATTTGGGGGTTACAGGTGCATATTTATTACATTGCATAGTGGTGACTCTGGCCTTTTAGTGTACCCATCACCCAAATAGTGAGCATTATACCCAATAGGTAATTTTTCGATCCTCATCTACCTCTCACCCTCCCACCTTTTGGAGCCTCCAGCATCTAGTATTCCACTCCATATATCCAATTGTACTCACTGTTTAGCTTCCATTTATAAGTGAGAGTGCAGTATTTGACTTTCGTTTGAGTTATTTCACTCATGATAATGTCCTCCAGTTCCATCCATGTTGCTATGAAAGACATTATTTCATTTGTTTTTAATGGCTGAGTAGTATTCCATAGCACATATATGCCACGTTTTCTTTATCCAATCATCCATTGACAGACATTCAGGTTGATTCCATATCTTTATTGCTGTGAATAATGCTGTGATAAACATATGAATGGAGGTATCATTTTGATATAATGAGTTCTTTCCCTTTAGGTATATTCCTAGTAGTGGGGTTGCCAGATTGAATGGTAATCCTATTTTTAGTTCTTTGAGAAATCTCTATATTGTTTTTCATAAAGGTTGTGCTAATTTACTAAAGTTAAGTAAATGGCACAAAATACAAACTAGTTAGTACCTCCAGAGCTGTATGGCTTAAATAAGTAGAAACAGTGAAATTAGGAGGGTGTGGTGTAATAAAACCAGGAAAAAAGGAATTGGATAAGATATATTAAACAATATTCTTTGAACAATGCATAAAACGAGGACCAAGTTTCCAGGGATAATGTGTGAAGTGGGATGTTAAGGCACGATTCATCTAATAACAGGTTAAGTGATGAATGGTGCTCTGTTGAACCAGAAACTGCTAGTTTAGTGTACTCTACCAAAATATTCGAATGACAAAGAGAGAGATCCACAAAGGTAGACAAGAGTAGAAATAAATTTTGTTTTGTTTTCTTTTTAGTAAAAAGGTGACTTGGTCATGTTTATAGGTTGAAAGGAAGTAGCTATAAAGAAGAAATGTGCAACTAGTTGATGAAGCAAAATAAAGAACATGTGGGAGAGAATATAATCACAGGCAAAATTTAAGGGGTAAATTCTTAGAAGGAAAACAGAGACTCTTCACTCTCTGAATTAGGAGAAAATAAAATGATTCATTTATGTGGATAATGTAATTTCATCAACAGAAGTTAAGTTTAGCAGTTCCAAAGGTCTTCTATCTTCATTTAAATTCAGTGGCTATATATATTTCCACATATAGTTTTAATCTGAAATACAAGCCTAAATCTTCCTTCTATGAAGGGTGTATAAATCATTTTTTTCTGTAATAGCAGAGGACAAAACTGTTAAAATTATAGCCAAATCACCACTATACCCTGGTTTATGAAGACTCAATTTCTGCAATTCCACATACTTGAATTTATGAACCTCCATAATAACTACAAAAATTTTAATACTGAGTAACATCCCTAAGTGGAGAAATTCATTCTTGTTGAGACATATAGTTAAGGTCATATAGTTGAAGTATTTCTGTATGCATTTCTCTTTCTATAAAATGGATAAGCACTACATTTTAAAACTGAGTAAATGAGGAAAAATTTAAATATGCATTATTTATTTAAATGTAAATGGTTATTAGTGATTGTGTGTAATTTCAGTTATAGTAAAGAAAACCATGGCTTCTTCAAGCTGCTCAGAAGATTAGTACCTAATTCCTCACTTCAATTTCATACACATTTTAAATGTTCTGTCTTAGGAATATGTTATTTTTAATCCATATTTTTTTTAAAAGTAGGTTCCCCTGAACCTGACAATTATTTAAAGCAGAAATTGAAAAACCAAAGACTTGGGGGCCAAATCTGGCCCTCTGCCTATCGTAAATAAAACTGTATTTGAAAACTGCCACACCCATTTGTTTACCTAAAGTCTGTGGCTGTTTTTAGGCTACAACTGCAAAGTCGAGTAGCTACAACAGAGACCACAGGACTTGCAAAGCCAAAATTATTCACTATATAGCTCTTTACAGAAAAAGTTTTTGATCCCTGATTTAAAGGCTGAAATGAAAATGCATACACAAGTAAAGCCCTATAAAATGAATATTATTGTGAAAAATGCCTCTATTTTGGGGGGAAAAAGTCTTTTTGTGCAAAAGTTAGCTCTCACTTTGTTCTGAAACTAAAACTAAAATTTCATTGCAATGGATTTTCAATAAAATCAAGCAATGTGAATAATTTCTTGGAATACATTCTTTTGGAGTTCAGTCATTTGCTGACAAAATCTAAGTATATCCCAAAGACACAATAAATGAGATTGAGTTCTAGGAGTGAGTTAAATCAATTTACACAAATCTCCTGTAGGGGAATTTGGGGGCAAACTCAAGACACATAAAATATCATCTATGCCTATTTTGGGGTGGTGTAAGGCAGACAAGAAAACTGCTGGCCCATAAGACCAGCATTATAATTTGTAGATCTCTTTGGTAAGCATGAAAGAATTATTTTTTCCATGATCATTATTGATCTTTTTATTGTGGATTCTCTATTTAAGAGGAAATATGTGTTTCTGTGTCTTAAAAATAAAGTGTATCACTTTAAAATAGTTAATTGTATGCATTATATAGACTGCTTACATAATGCACAAATATGCATGTTTATTGTAGTAAATGCAAAAAAGAATGTATATTGACAGAAAAACTCTTAAACTTTAATTGTGCTTTGCTATAAATTTTTTGTTTTACTCAATACCAAAATTGGCATTTTTCAACTCTGCCTTCAGACTACTTACAAGGTAGAATAAATTCACCAAAGTCAATTAAACGCTGTTGAGTAATCTAATAACCATGGTTAGCTTATCAATGAGCAGCTCATTCCACATAACTTAGAGTTCATTGCCTCTGTGCTAAGTTTCTATAGTCTAAAATAAAACATAATTTTATTGATAATTCAATGCGTTATGGAGACAGCTTCTACAAAAATGAAACAATGAAAAATGGAGTGCACAAATTACAACTTTTAATATTGGGTTATGTCATCGAAGCTAGGAGAATTATGAAGTAAAATCTCCTTTTTATTTTACCATTTTGTTTGTTACATGACTCATATTTTCCTAACTTTTACCAATGCTATCCTATGGTAGTAACTCCAAGGGATCAAAGCCAGCCATAAGTTTACATTTTTATCTTTATGCACAACACTGAAAGCATCAGTTTTTGTTCCCCATTAATATTATTTCTTTGTTTTTCTTGTTTTTATAATGTAAAGTGCATGAACTCTTGCCTCATTTGAACCATCTGTTTCGTAGTTTTGGCATTCTTTTTCAGTCTATTTAAAAAATGTGCTCATCTTTCTAAACTAACAACTCTTTACAACAGGTAAATATTCAGAATTTACTTTTCTAGCCTTGACAAACATATTTGTATAATATCATTTATCTCATTTTTTAGTTGCACAATAATTAGGAGGCTAGCCCATTAATTTCATGTTTCTTGCTTTTACAATGGCGGAGACAGAGTTCCTATTGTATAAATGGAGAATATAAAACAACTTATGGTCATAACAAGAGGAATGAATCTAGAGTTTTTAACTGAACTCTGTTCTGTTAATTTTCCAGGAGAATATTGAGTATATTTCAAAATTAAAACATTTTCTCTTAGATCTATGATATCAGTTATGGATCTAAGTCTCATGCCACTGACACCATTCTAGCTTTGTGCATCTGATTAAACCGGATAACATGGTAATGCAGAAAGCCCAATGCACACATGTACAGTAGATACTCCAAAATACCAATTCCTTTCACTTGCAAGTTCCTTTTGTTCTAGTATAAATTATAATTTATATGGTCTTCCAGATCATAAAAATATGCGTGTGCATGAAGATATCCCAGTATAGAACTGTATATCTGGACTACATTGTTTTAACTCTACAGAATAGCTATAATATTGAACTATTATCAGGCATTATCTCTTCACCCTACACTGAGATGTTGCCTAAAGGAAATGTATTTATTATGGTGCTGTTGTTGGAAACCTCCCTCTCTTTTTATAAGGACATGCAGAGAGATTTTTCTCAAGTCTCAGTGCCAGGAAAGATGTACTTATCATAAGGAGTAATTTTAAAAATATATTTTAGAGACATTTTAAATCTTAGGATTTATCATACTTTCTTCTTTCCTTTGGTTACTAGGAAATTTAGTATTGAATTTCTACTTCAATTATAGTTGTTGTACAGTTCCTTATATTGTGCAATTTTGTTTTCAAACATTGTCTTTACCTTCATTCTTTTTAAACTTAATTTCTCTTCAGTCTGAGATTCTTATCTATGGAAAATTTGAATAAACCATTAATCACAAACCTCTCTTTACAAACTTAGTTTATTGGTTGTCAAACCGCATTAATCATTACAAACAACAGGAGTTTTTGTTTTTGGTTTTTATTTTTTGCTTGCTTGATTTTGGCTCTTGTTTTTTTTCACTTCAGATGCATAATTTACTTAATCATACGATTTAGTTTATGGTACATTGTGATGATTGGTTTATACAAATTTCTCTTGTTTGATTTTGTTTTTCCTGGACCTCCTTTTTCTACTTTCATCCTTGTTTCTCCATATGCATCTGTTGAATGATTGGAATAAGTCCAATAGTATGTTTGCAAATTGAACAGGTATATAACATATTGAGTATGCATGAACTGTAAAAGTAAATGTATTATATTATAGATTATATTCTCCTTCTTACTTTGTGAACTCAGCACTATGTTTTTACAGTTTATCCCTGTTGCTGTTTGTGTCTCTATTTCATTGCTTGACTGTTACTTAACATACCATAGCATGCATACATTGCTCTTAATTCATTCTTAATTCCCCTAAATGTGGACATCCAGAGTGTAATTAACTCTTGCTATCACATCTTTGACAGTCATCTCTGCAAATAACCCCTTATAGATCTGAGTGGAAGTTTCTGCATTATTATTTGTCAGCATCCTTCATTTATGTAATTATTGTCAGCTTGCTCTCAGGATATCTGTGCCATCTGGACTCCCAAAGCAGTTCATGTGGGTTCCTGTTTCCCCACATGCTCACCAACATTTGGTATTATCTTGTTTTCTAAGTTTTGTCTTTCTTCTGGCTATAGGGTAACGTCTTGTTTAAATTTGAATTTCTTTCTTTCTGTCTTTTTTTTTTTTTTTTTTTTTTGAGACGCAGTTTTGGTCTTGTAACCCAGGCTGGAGTGCAATGGCGTGATCTCGGCTTATCGCAACCTCTGCCTCCTGGGTTCAAGCAAATCTCTTGCCTCAGCCTCCCGAGTAGCTGGGTTTACACCCATATGCCACCACACCTGGCTAATTTTGTATTTTTAGTAGAGATGGGGTTTCTGCATGTTGGTCATGCTGGTCTCGAACTCCCAACCTCAGGTGATCTGCCTGCCTCAGCCTCCCAAAGTGCTGGGATTACAGGCGTGAAACACCGCGCCCGGCCTAAATTTGAGTTTCTAACCTTACTAGTGAGGTTGAATGTTAACTTGCATTCTTACTAAACATTTGGGTTTCTCCTTCTCTGAAGTGCCCATTTATATGCTTTTTCCATTTTTTCTTTTTTATTTCTCTTTTTGTTGACTTGAAAAACTCTTTTGCCTCTTCTAGACATTAATTCATTCTTGAATATAAATGCCCTAAATTTCTCCTTTGATATCGTGTATGTTTTTGAATATAACATGTTTTACATGTTATGGTTTTGAGTTATTTATAATGACTTTCTTTCCTGCATAATCTTGTATTAAAATAAGCGTTGTTTTTCCACATTTGTTCTTCTCCACGTAGTGTGATAGGTTTCCCCGAATGAGCTTTTAAACAATTCATCCTGTCTACTAGGTAACCATCAGTATCATATATCAGGTTTATGTTGGAAAGTGTTTTTAATAAAATAAATTTCTATTTTTATGCTCTGTCATATTAGGTATATTTTCTGTAAGTAAAATAAATAAATATATATACATATGTATGTGTGTATATGTATAAAATTGGTCAAAGGCAGGCCAGATAAATAAACAAACAAATATATAAATTGTTTCCTCTATTTCTTAACTAAAACTGATTTTATTATTAAATGTATTCTCAACTAAATCAATTCAAGGCCTATGTCTGTCCTTTTCCTGTGAAAGTATGGAACCATATGGTTGGTAGACATGGAAATAACTGCTTCTTCCTGACCAGCTACCAGATGTTCAGAGTTCTTTGTTCAATTACTTTTTTTTTTACTAGAAATTATAAAACATACTGAATCAATCTTTATAGCTAAGAATAATAAAACCGTTTTCAGCAAAAATTTTGTATTTATATAGATTGCCTATAAGAATATTTGATAGAAATGATGTATTATGCACTATCTTCTTGACAGAGAAAATCTGGTCTGCAGACGTAGAAAAAAACACAGATGGATGAAAACAATTCTGTAATCAAGATTTGATGTTGGAGGTACCCAAGTAAACTGACAGGGAAAGACTAAATTGTGGAAGAACTTCAGATACAAATTTCTAAGTCATTTTATATTTTTGGGTATTTATAGTCCATGTAAGATACCTCTAACTTTCTAGGTGATTTAACCTACATAATGTATGGCCCTCCAGACCGAGCATGAAAACAGCTTATATTCCTGTCTTTGTAATGTGTATTTGTCATAACCAAGAGTGTAGATCAAAATTCTGAGAGGCACTATCTCTAACATGGAAATAAACAATGTAGGACAATTTCTATGGTAATTGTCATGATTCCGTATCTTGTATCTTGACCAATCTGGACTTTATATGTACATAATACAGTGTTTCTCAAACTTGGGTTTCTGATTTTTTTTAAACCCTGCTTTTTTAACTTACCAAACTTGAAAAAACAAGCAACAAACAAACAACCCTAATTCTAGTGGTCAAGAATTTGTATTTATTTTTAGTTTTGCTTTTTGCTTTCTTTTAAATCACTTTCATAAACTGCTTGCTATATGCTGGAAACTAGGCTAGATCACTTTAATATTTTCTCATGTATTATTCACTCTCACAGGAGATATAACAGAGACAACAAAAGATCATATTCAATAAGGATGTTTGTATGCATTTTTTTTTTCAGGTAAAGGCAATGTCCTAAGACGTATCTGTGATGTAGCCCTCTTTCATCAGTTACTAAGTGCTCCTGAAACCATGTTTGCTCCTTCTTATTCAAATTATTATTGGATTTACCTGGAAGTTTTTAATATCTTTTGGATATGTCTGTATGGATATACCCCATTGCTATACATGTTTGTGCTCTAAAAATGAATTAGTATGTTCTCATTTTACACTATCTTCTGAATTCTTTACTCATTATAGGATAATTCAGAAGAATAAAGAAATAGGTCTTTGCCCTTTAAAAACTTATATGTTTGAAGAGATGAAACTTGTGTGGAAAAATAATTTGAAAAGAAATATAAATAACAGCTTTTGTGCTACAAATGTAAATGGTATTGTGTTACAAAAAGAAGCAAAATACCTTTAGGGGCTATAAAGGAAGTATTTATAAAGGAAGGGAAAGTTTAGTTAAGCCTGGAAGGAAATGAAAAAACAAATGGATTGGTAGACAGTAGAAAGGAGTTTATTTAAGGGAAAAAGAGTATGTTCAGAGTAAGAGCTGTGAGTGGAAAGCAGGGTGGCGATACACGGGAATGGCAGCATAAAGAATTATGAAAAGGAGGGGTTGATTCTGGTAATGTACAGGTTGCCCCCACCACCTGCCCTTAAAAGTGAAACATCTTCCTGGGCTGCTAGCACGATTTATATTAATATGTTCATTAAATATTCACAAGAATAAAACAACACATACATTCCTTACGCTTGTAGCTTTTATTAAAATATTGAACCAAAATTAAAGATAAATTATAAACAAATTGACGCATCATTAAAATGTTTATTTACTGTGTGTTTTGTTTTTACTGAAATATGTATCTCTATGGTTGTAAGATGAGACACAGATTGCCACATATGTGTATGTATAACACTTTCTGCCTGTAGCTATACCATGTGATGACTCCATCCTCCCAACACTTTATTCAAGTGACCTTGAAACTTTTTATGTGTATTACTACATGGGGATGTTGTTTCATTTTCATTTCGCTGTAACTTATCATTAACATATTATACCATCTTTGTTCTTTTTATCATTTGGGAACATGGCTTTGAAAGTGGTTCAGAATCTATGATAAACATAAACACTAACACTGAGATTGATCTTTCACATGATTCCAAATATAGTTTATTAATTCATATTGATTTTTGTGTCAATAAACACAATAATTTAAAAAATCCTTATAGAAAAAAGAGCTGATCTCCACATCCCCACAAATGCACCTCTTCCACCAACGCTAGTTTGAGAAACACTACATTAAGCAATTTTGGGTTCTAGATTTACAAAAGCAGGATCTGGTTAATGGAGCAATTCTTACTGCTCAGGCAAGAAATAGAGATCTGAATAAGTTCTAAATCAGGATGTTGACAAAAGAAAGTGAGCTTTAAAGAAGAGTAAATTAGTATCCATTTGTTGAAATAAGGGGGGAAAGATGACACAGGAAATTTAATTGAAGGACTATTGTTAGATACTTGTATGTAATGTTGCATGCTCAAGTATATGAAGGTTAACAGGCGAAACGAAGGTAATAAAGGAGGGAGGACACTTTTACAGGGTGTGAGAAAGGCCAGTTTGGGAAGATGATATTTAATTCAGTTACGCAGGATGAGAATTAATCAGCCTTAAAGAAGTATCTGAAGGCAGAGATATACACAGAGATCCTGAAACAGAATCAAGCTGGGTATGAAAGAAGAAACAGAAAAAAAGGGAAGATTTGGAGAGTTTGTCATGAGATAAGGTCAAAGAGACAGTTATAAGGTATGAGAATTTAACATTGCAGCAAAAATGGTGATGAGGAAGGGGTGTTTTAAGGGTCACCACTGAAGAAATGTAAATAGGAATTTGTGATAGCATATAATGAGAGAGAAGTATAAACGATCAACAATTGAGGATAGGGAGACTAGAAGAATAATGATGTCATGGCCAGAAATAGGAAAGTTAGTAAATGGAGGGCAGTTTGAGTGGGAAGATACTGAATTGTACATATTAAAGGGTTATTTATGTTTCTTTAATTAAAAACACCAAATCCATTGTTTTTGGTTTTTAACTAACAGAAAACACAAAACAATGGATTATCTATGTGTAAGATGTACCATTTTAGGGAAGCTGGCTGAAACAAAGGAATAAAAGTACTATCAAATGGATGGAAATAAAATGTAAGATCAGTGAAGGATGGAGGATTGCACCTTAAGGTAATGAGAAATCTGCAGAAGAAACCAAGAAAGAGTAAGGAAAATAAGGACAGTATAATGGCACATACCTCACAGAAAATAAAAGATGTTTAAGGAGGCAGATTTCATCCATATCAAATGCAGCGATAAATTTTAAAACACTGGAGGCTTACTTCAGAGTCAGTATCATGTGAGGCACGGGGTGGTCATAGGTTGCAATAGATGGTAAAGTTATGGAGAAAGCTAGTGCTGGAAAATAAGTTTGTTCAGAAGCCTGGCCTGGAGGCATGAGTAAACAAGCAGAGGTACACAAAGTCCTTTAAAAGTTAGTTGCCTATAACAGTTGCTAAGGATATTCTGAGAAAAATGTATCAGTAAAACAGATTGTTTCTATGTGGTGAAGATGATTTTGCTTTGAGGGTCTTCTTGGTTCCTCACTGGAGGATTTCACTCTCCAGTTAATGGCTACAGCATTCTGCCTACCAGGACATGGTCCCACCAAGTCAAGGGAAGCACCTGCAAAAGACTTATGGAGACTCTTTTATTAGCCCAACTAGGACACTCTGAAGCTTCTGAGTTATTAACTTACTTATAATGGCTGAAAAAAATGCCTTTGGGGCACCACATAACTTAAAAATAACATCCCTATTTCTTACTATATTACTACATTTTGCCATCTGTTCCACAAATCGTGGTTTGTGGATACCAGTTTCTACACCTGAGTAATCACATTGAAACTTCATCTATGCCAGGTCTCATCAAGGCAGGAAAGAGCTGAGTCTGGCATGCCTGGCCAGGACCTATCACAGGGACAAAAACATGCTTATCATTAATAGCCTTTATTGCCAAATTGTTTGTAATTATTGCCTCTACATTTCTTTTATATTGACAAAGAAGAATATTGCTTTCATTTTTGTATTCTCAAAGGTGAAATCTGTCAGCATACTGTGAACCACCTTTATACCATTATCGTAAGATCCTGGGCCACAGGAAAACATGATTGTTTTTGGTTAGATGAATGTATAGTAGAAAGGTAGAGGTAGCTATTGATAGCACTGTGCAAAAAATCCTCACCTATTTTCTTTAATCTTCACAACAATTTTTCAGGTTATTAAGTTATCTCCACTTTACAAAGAAAACTAAGGCAAGAAACATACATGAATGCCCTAAATCACACAATAAATAGTGGTGGCAATATTTGACTCTAACTCTGCCTAATGTCAAATCATTTACTTACTAGTCCAGCTATTTGTGATAAAACATGAGCTATTCGTTGAAAGCCTTATCTTGCTCTTCTTACTCTGAATTATAATTATTTATTTATAGAAATAATGTGAGTATTATATCAAATACATGACAAAAGATATTTGAGCACTGAAGGTATATTGAAACTTAATATTTGCTATTCCGTCTGATCCTTTAGAGCAGGAACTGGATTTTACTTGTTTATTTTTTAATCTCTTGTAAAGGACAGCCTATGAAAATGTAAGGGATGTTCACTGAACTGATTAACTGATGAATTTTTTTGTAAGACGACAAAGTGAAAGGAGCCCAGTTCTCCAAAGAGAGGTCCTTGTAGAAACATTGGTCACTACCATCTGGAGGGCATAATCATTCCTGAAAGAATGTGGGAAGTGGTATTTGTTCTGTCCATTGAAAAACAAATGTTAAAAAATAAATTTTAGAAATTTTCCTTTCACTCTTACTGTGACTGCTATATTGAAATGTATTTTTTCTAATGATTAATTGAATCATTAGGGAGAAAACCCTCTTACTTTACAGTATTGATATAAAATGATCTCAAGGTCATTGATATGAAGTGACCACCAATGTAAATATCTTCAGAATACACACACACACACACACACACACACACAGAGAGAGAGAGAGAGATGTAATTATTTAGCATTTTTGTGTATGTATGATTTTCAGGGTTTCATTATGTGACAGTGAAAATGAAAAAATTCAAGATAGGTAGTGGAAAGGGTGATGGATTGTTATTTTCTCTCCTGTGTACTTCAGTGCCATTTACTTTTTTGTTTTTGCAGGTGAAGACAGATGACAGAGTGGTTAAGATGGACCTTGGTTTACTCTTCCTAAGGTTACACAAATCAGATGCTGGGACCTATTTTTGCCAGACAGTAGAGCATAGCTTTGTCCATACGGTCCGTAAAATCACCTTGGAGGTAGTGGAAGAGGAGAAAGTCGAGGATATGTTTAACAAGGACGATGAGGAGGACAGGCATCACAGGATGCCTTGTCCTGCTCAGAGTAGCATCTCGCAGGGAGCAAAACCATGGTACAAGGAATTCTTGCAGCTGATCGGTTATAGCAACTTCCAGAGAGTGGAAGAATACTGCGAGAAAGTATGGTGCACAGATAGAAAGAGGAAAAAGCTTAAAATGTCACCCTCCAAGTGGAAGTATGCCAACCCTCAGGAAAAGAAGCTCCGTTCCAAACCTGAGCATTACCGCCTGCCCAGGCACACGCTGGACTCCTGATGGGGTGAGACTATCTACTGTCTTTTGAAGAATTTATATTTGGAAAGTAAAAAAGTAAAAAAATAAATCATCCAACTTCTTTGCATTACTTAAAAGAGATTTCTGTAATACAGGAATGACTATGAAGGTGTTATAATAAATTATTCTACATACTCATTTGACTGGATAAACTTTACATAAAATTAACTAATTTTTTAAATAAATGCATTGCTTAATGGTTTCTCATTATGTTTATCAAAAAACAACTGTAGCTGTTATTTTCAGTACTTGGCTGCTTTTCTGTGAAAATTATTATTTTACTTTTGGAAGACAAGATTATTAGAATATTGAAGAAAAATTGGAGACTTATAATCATGGTAAATATAAAACTAAATATGTTTTAATATTTCTGAATTTTTCTTTTCCATCACAATGTAAGATATGCAGAATACAAGATACTTTGGCATTCTCATGTGAACTTTCTGTACTCTTTAAGGATTATTTTATTAGTGTTGTTTAAGCCATGAGTGTTAAGTAGCAGGTGTGTTGTGAGTGCTGTAACCCATGAAAGGAAAAATGTCATTCTGAGGCTTGTGCCCTTCGTAAAATATTCATTAAAGTACATTCACACTATTTTTGCTTTATAACACAGTCTTTAATTTTCACTCACTGTGGAAATAAAAACTAAGGTAACTTCTCAGAAAGATATCAAATCTCAGAAAGAATGTCAAATCAGATGAAGTTATAGTTAGGATTCTAACTACTGTAAAAGATTTTTGCTTCCCTCTTGTGGTAAAAAAAATTATATTCTCACACATTTCTTTTTTCTCTACAGACGGATATCTGTTTAGGAAAGATTTGAAAGCAGATTATCAGTAGGTACATGGATACATCAAGTTCATTTGCAGAAACAAATAACTGAAATAAAAAACATGTTAATCCTTGTATCATACTTTAATATGAAAGTATTGTTTATAGATAATTTATCTCACAAGTCAAAAATGAAGATTTTGCAGCACTGAAAATCTATTAAAGCTCCAAATTTTAAGTTTCTAAATAATCTTCGCTGAAATCTAAAATATACTATAACAACCGTGTTTTATTTGTGAAAAAAATATTAAAGTGATTTGCTCTCAAATATCAAATTTTCTTCTCTCTTTTATATTAAGAGACAGAAAATTGTTTCATGAGTTCACTTAACTACTGAGATATTCAGAGCATTTTTACCTCTCTCTTAAATGTTATAAAAAACAATTGTATTTTTAAGAATGTTTATTTATCAAAGTCTTTCCTTCTTCTATTAAATATTTAGCAATTACCTTTCTAAAATATGAAATTTTGTAAGATGTTTTCACCTAAATAAAAATTGAAAGCAAGTGGATTACACAGGAGAACCATTATGAACATTTATTTAGATATTAATCTTAAACAGTGTTTATTTCAGTTTTCAAAGTTAGCTTATAGGTTATACATTTAAGTTAAAGTGCTCATAATCACTTGCAATTTCATTGTAAAATGAACAAATACATAAATATTTTAAGAAAAATTTAAGTTTATTCAGATAAGTCACCATGCTTCAAAAGATCTAAGAAATGCAAATATACTGAAAATTGACATCCTCTGAAAATTCCACTTGCTATTTACCCAAGAATCCACTGGAGGTCATTACTGCCATTAAATAATAACTGAAAAGACTATGTAGTGAAATGTATTTTTAAAAACTATATTCAGTAAAAGCCTGCTCAATTTGGAGAAATAGAACCACAAACACAGATCACAGGGGCCTTACAAAGTTTATGTCTGAACAAATAAGTCAATTAAGTACACTTTATTGAAAATTGCCTTCCATTAACACACAAGAAAGAAAGCAGGATTTTCTCCTGTATCTGAATTTTAAAATTAAAAAGGCAGATAAGACATAAATAGTTATCATTTTAATTGCAATAACACAGACAAGTAGTTAATGATGATAACAATGGTGTAACTTGTAAACTAAATATTTGGTAACTGAAGCAATAGGCAGAGGAAAATAGCTTTTCTATGACACAAGTCATAAGAAGTCCATATACTGAAGAGCGTTTGATTAAAATAAAGTGACTATTAACCAGAAAAGAAACATTTTACATAAAATGCTAAAATTTATTATAGGAAAATAAATCAAACCCAAAGAAAGTTTATTCAATGCTAATTTGAAAGAAAATTGATAAGAAAACTTTGAGGGCCCAAGTCCACAATTTGGTGAGACCACTAAATTTTACATATAATTATACACACACATATGTACATATATATGTATATAATCTTGCTTCCCGCCTGTTTATGGCAGTACTGAAGAGAAATGGGAAAGAAGAGGGAGGGAGAGAGAAAGACGAAGGGAGAGAGAAAGCAGTTTCCAAGGATATGTTTCATGTCCCACCATTTTCTCAGTTTCTCCCTCTCTCTCCCAACACACACACACACACACCCCTCACATACTATAAAATAAATCTTCACTGCCCTATCAAAATACAAATAAATCAATCTATGCTGTTCTGTCCTTCTTGAGAATCTAAAACATACCACAAAAATACATCCCCAGTCTTTTGTTCTGTCTGAGGTTAGAATTAATTCAAATTCAGAATCTGTTGTGAGAAATGCCCAGGCTTTAAAAATTAAAAATGGATGGATCTTCTCTGAACTCAGGGAGGGCACATACTTAGATACCTACAAGACTTGGAGGAATTAAGAGTTCACCCTTCATCTCACCAAATTTTCCCCATTTTTCTCTTTCTTGTAGAAGGAGAGAAACCATGCTCTCTAGCAACATTGAGCAAAAATCATAACCACTCATCTAATTTCTAAGAGGCACCTCCATCGAGGGCCGGTCTCCTGCTTCTTTAGACCTCTTCTATCTTTGTTACAGGAGAGGACCTGTGGATAGACTTAGTTTTGACATAAAACAATGCCCATTCACCTCCTCCTTCAGCACAACGTCACCCATTGGGCAAGAGATCCAGATTTGTTAACAAAAAAGATTTTACTTCGTGATTCCACGTCTATAATTCTATATTGCTAATTTTTTCTTTTGTGTGAATTACTGAATATTTCAGAGCAAAGCTATCAACTTGGAGAAACAGGGATTAAAAATAAGGATAAACACTAATAAGAGCTCTAGAAAAAAGGGAACAGAAAGTCTGCCTGTTTAGTAAGTGGCAATTCCATACATATTTTAGAGTTTTTTCTATCTAAAATTAGTTAAATACTTAGAATGTTTGTAATGAGTGTTCGATATTTGCTATAGGTTTTAGGGTTTTGTAAATCTTCATAGTAATTATAAACATTTGTAAAATTTGTAAAATACTATAAGTCATTTTGAGTGTTGGTGTTAAGCATGAAACAAACAGCAGCTGTTGTCCTTAAAAATGAATTGACCTGGCCGGGCGCGGTGGCTCACGCCTGTAATCCCAGCACTTTGGGAGGCCGAGGCGGGTGGATCATGAGGTCAGGAGATCGAGACCATCCTGGCTAACAAGGTGAAACCCCGTCTCTACTAAAAATACAAAAAATTAGCCGGGCGCGGTGGCGGGCGCCTGTAGTCCCAGCTACTTGGGAGGCTGAGGCAGGAGAATGGCGTGAACCCGGGAAGCGGAGCTTGCAGTGAGCCGAGATTGCGCCACTGCAGTCCGCAGTCCGGCCTGGGCGACAGAGCGAGACTCCGTCTCAAAAAAAAAAAAAAAAAAAAAAAAAAAAAAAAAAAAAAAAAAAAATGAATTGACCTGTGACACCTGTAGCCTAATAAACATATTAAGAAAAGTACTTAGTATTGTATAGATATTTGGATTCCAAGAGAAAATGCAACATTTATAATAAGAAGTCCATACTCTTTTTCTTACAGCAGAGCGTCACACTGAGTTCCATTTTAAAAAAGGACTCATTTTTCAGGCCAACAACTGTTGCATTTGAATCAGATATAAATAATAGATTTTCCACAAACACTCAGCTGATTGTAGCAGTGTTATTTAAGCTGGTATGTTTATTTTTTTTTTCTTGGAAGGATAGCTTTATATTTTGGCTTTCATTATAAATTGTGTTCTGCTTGTGTTTAAATGGCTTACTTATAAGCTAGAGCACTATATGGGAGTGTTCTTCTCTGTATGGTATCCTTTTATTTGCTTGGCTGGGTTCATAACAGTGTGTGCCATATTCTTTCTTTTCACTGATTCTAAGCCATGAGACTTATTAGCATCTGGTGGCAAGCTGCAGGGACCATTAACAGTGTGTCTCTTTGACTACAACGTGGATCTGCCACTACGCGCTATGTACCATTATGTACAATCTCTATTTGGCTCAACTTCGATGAAAAAGAAATAAATATTTGCTAAACTCTCAAGTGTCGTCTGGGGAGCATTTTCTAAGTTTTTGCCAACTGAACTCAAGTTTTTTATATTAAGCCTAAATGTAAACATACAATGCCAGACTACCACTGTTTTTTTTGGATTTTTTTTAGAAGTTAGAAAAGAATTCAGTTTTCTTTCCTGGGATATTTATAAGCCAAGTTTCCTACAGAGGAAAAAGTCTGTTAACTTCATTACCTTGCAGCAGTTGGGTTTATTTATGCAACCTCGTGTTGCTAGGACCAGCAGCCAGAAATTCCTTTCAAAGCTTCATCATCCAGATAAGAGATATGAAAAATGAAAGTTTTTAGAAGGGTAACTCGTTGAATGTTTACGATTTTTGCAAGCCTCAAGTTCTAGCTTAATGTATCTGAATTGCTATTTTCTCTGTTATTTTTATAAGACCTTGGGAAGGCCATTTAAACGAAGTGTGGTGTTAAATAAACTTTTGGGGGCGCATTTTGTTTCTGAGGCAAATTTTATTGTATTGGTAAGTAATTAGTTACAATGTTTTAAAAGAAAAAATTGGCAGCAGCTCATGGAGTGTGTCTCTGGCAGCTTTATGATGTGACAATGACATTAATGGTAGTTGTTTATCATATTTCAACCTTGCATTCATTTATAATATAGGCCTACTTTTAGTATAGTATTTGATGAACGAATTGAAACTGTTCTTCAGATACATTTTCAGTCTTTAGTCAGAGGAAGAAGAGAGACAGTTATGGTAACTAGAAATCTGTTGCTTACTATTCAAAGGAAACAAAGGTATCCACCCATCTTTGTATTCAAAAACAGTATGCCAGGCACTGAACCAGGCACTGTATAAAGTCTAGAAATGTTAATAATCCCATTATTACACAGATAAATAAAAATTAAATTATGTTTTTAGAGACTATGTTTGCAGTGTTTATTGGAAAAAAATCCCAAATCTTCATTTTACTTTATAGTGCATGAAATGCAACAACCGTGTAGTTTAATACAAGCATTTATTCTTTCAGAAATACAGTTGGTATACACAGGGGATTAGGTCCAGGGCTCCCATGTATACCAAAATTCATGAATACTCAAGTCTTCCGGTCAGCCCTGTGAATTAAAATACAAGAAAAGTCTCCTGCCTCTGTATATGTGGGTTTCATATCTTATAAATACTTTATTTTCCATATGCATTTGGTTGAAAACAATTCACATATAGACGTGCCTTTGCAGTTCAAACCTGCATTGTTCAAGAATCAACTGGACTTCTAATTATGAATGTTGAGACTCCTGGTCAGGATGACATTTAGAAGCCAGGCTTTGGTTCAGAGGAGTTGCAATAATGTAGCAATAATGAATGGTATATAAAAAGAGAAATAGTTTAATAAAAAAGAAAGAGATCAACATAGAAGCATAACATCTTTATGAATCTGCCCCTACATTTGCCTTCTTCTCATCCATCTTTACCCAGCAGCCAAAGTCATCTTTCTACCACAAATTCAATCCTTGTATAACTCTATTTGAAGCCATTCATGACTTTTGCATGGTTGATATGGTTTATGAGCCAGTAATGGAACATAAATGCAAGGCAATGATTGGGCTTGAAGCCATAAATCTGGACACGTGTTCAGCAGAAGATAGTGGCAGCAGGAAGCCCAGATCCTGAACAATGAAAGGAATACATATGATAGATGCCAGGTGAAATGTTAGGACTTCTCACTGCTTTGGGCAGATACAGAAGCCTGAAATCTGGGTACCTACCATTGCCTGGGGTTTTGTCATATAGGAGCTGCATGTAAAGCCAGCTAAGGCTAGGATACAGACTCATTGCAGGTCCCAGGACTGACTTAGCCCCCTTTTCCTCTTCACTTCTCTTCATGACCTGGTATCCCTGGAATATGAGACGCCCAAGTCATCTCAGTACTAGAGCCTAGAATAGCCAAAGAGCCTTTTCTAGTTTAGTAGCCCTGAGGTAGGGATAAGGAGGTGGACGCAAAAGTAAAAGCTACAGGCAAAGTACTAAAGACTGAATTCTGTCACATCTCTCTGGTCACCCCTAATTCACATGTTGAAGTCCTGACCCCCAATGTGGTAGTATTTGGAGATGGAGTTTGGGGAGGGTAATTATGGTTAGATGAGGTCATGAGAATGGGGACCTCATGATGGGATTAGTAGCTTTATAAGAAGAGGAAGGGAGGGAGGGAGAGAGAGACAGGGAGAGAGAGACAAAGAGAGAGAGAGAGAGAGAGAAAGAGAGAGAGAGAGAGAAGACTGGAAAGTTACCGTCTGCAAACCAGGAAGATGACCCTCACCAGGAACCAAATCTGCTGGTACCTTGATCTTGGACTTCCCAGCCTCCACAACTGTGAGAAATGTGTCTGTTGTTTAAGGCACCCAGTCTATGACATTTTGTTATAGCAGACTAAGCAGATTAATACACACAAGAAAGCACAGAGATAGGTGGGGAGATTAAGGATAAACAGAAATACTAGAACCCACAAACAAAATATTTCAAAACATCTCAAGATATCTAAAGTTAAGTAAATAATAATACCCGGGAAAAGTGATGAAAAGTAGCCTCATGTATGACATTCTGAAGGTCCATAGCTTTTATTAATTATTAAAAGGATAATTGACCCAAAGGTCAAGAACAACTGTACTAGTAAAATGTATCACATTATAAATTAAGACATATGACCAATGATGTTAAATGACTTTTTAAAGGTAAAAAGAAGATGCAGAATGAGAAGAGAAAACAATTCTGTTCATCAAATGTTGTGCATTCTTGTAAAGAACACACTGTACATCTTATGGGATGAAATTTAACATAAAATATTGTATATGTCCCAGCAGAGCCTCAGAATGTGACTATAATCAGAATGAAAACTTGCATTCATTATAGCAATCTATAGATATCTTGGTTCATTGCTCCTCTAGCCCAGGATGAAAACATAAAGTTCATTGCTTTAGCTGAATAAAAGAATAAATGAATGAGTGGATGAAGAATGAACAAATCAGTCAGAGGATAACATCATTTAGATTCAAGTAACAAAATACCAATAAGAAGTTATTTAAATGAAGAGGATATGTATTCCCTAATGTAACTAGAAATCCAAAGGAAGGCAGTCTCAGGGCTGGTTGATTCGGTGACCAGAAGAACATTTTCCAAAGCTCAGGTAATTTCCATGTCTCCTCTCTGCTGTCCTGTGAATTGGCTTTGTCCTCAGGCAGGTGCTCTAGGTATCTACTTTTTACGCCCACACAGGTACAAATGGTAGTACTTAAGATTATCTGCACATCCTCTACCCCAACCACACCAAAGCCCCACAAGACTTCCATACCAGGATTGGGTAAATACCCTTATCAGGAAATCTGGAAAAGCTCATTTCTAATCTTATAATAGAAGACAAAGTATATCTGTAAGAAAGAGAGCGGGAGAGAGGGAGAGACAGCTGTTTGTTAGAAAAACGTCAAGATCAGCTACAGACATCATCTTTTGAGGTAACAAAAAGTAGGTGGAAAACCAACATTTAAATTAAAATAAGTAACACTGGTGTGGGATAGGCTTTTCCTACTTCCTGAAATGAAAATTTAGAAAATTAACTCCCAACCTAAGAATCCAAGTTTTGACCAAATACTATACTCAGACAATGTTAAAAAATCAGGGTTTTTTTGTTTTGTTTTGTTTTGTTTTTGGTGCATTCTACATGTTTGAAATTCTGCTACAATAGTTTATGAGAAAGTCATATTTGAGAATGCTTTCTGAGGATAGGTTAATCATGGATAGATTCATTATAAATAATTACAACAAAATGGGAAAAATATGAAGACCACAAAGAATATTCAGTTACATTTTACAAGACATAAAAAGAGAGTACATTTTTTTCTTGTTGTGCAATCTTTGAAGAACAGATGGCAAAAGTGGGGACACTTCAGGAGCACTCTTAGAACATCTGTTCCTGTCACTGCTAGGAAATTTAGTCTCATGGACTACAAAGCAAAATCTCCAGAATGTCTGAAAGGAGCCCTGGCCTGAGCCAGAAGATCAGAGCTCTAGTTCTCATTTTGATAGAACTAGAAAAACCTCTTCGTTTCTTTGCTTCCAAACATGTAAAATATGTTTCAGCTTCCAAACATGTAAAATGAGGTGGTTGGACCAGATGATTTTGAAACACATACCATTTATAACAATGTTTCATCCTTTAAAATGGGATTTCAATGAAAAGACCATGTTCAAATATCTTCTGCAGAAAAATCCAACACTTTAGTATGGAGACCAAATTACCTTTTCTTTAAATTTTTTACAAGTTTATTGATGTACAGTTGATGTGAAATAAACTGCACAAATTTAAAGTATATGATTTGGTAAATTTTGACTTACCTATACATCTGTGAGCCCACCACTGTCAAAATAATGAATATATCTATTATCCCTAAAGCTTCTTGTGCCCTTTTAAATTAGTTTCTCTCTCCACTTCCTCATCCACTACCCAGGAAACCACTCTTCTGTTTTCTGACACTATTGATTAGTTTGCATTTTATATAATCATATACATAGAAACATGCAGTTTGTCCTCTATTTGCCTAGCTTCTTTAACTCAACATCATTCTTTCCAAATTCTTCCATATTTTTTAGTTTCCCAATAGTTTACTCATTTATATTACTGAGCAGTATTCTACTATAATGGATATAGAAAATTTTGATGGACATTTTAGTTGTTTCCAGCTTTTGTCTACTACAAATAAAGCTACTTTGAACATGTGCAAGTCATTACGTGGACATATACATTTATTTCTCTCGGGTAAATACTTAGGAAAGGAATTTCCAAATTGTGTAGTTGATGGTTATTTAACTTTCAAATAAGCTACCAAATAGTTTTCCAAAATGATTATACAATTTCACATTTTCACCAGCAGTGTATGAAAGTTCTATTTCTTGTGTATCCTAACACTTGATATATTGTCTTTTTAATTTTAGCCATTCTATTAAGTATGAAGTGACAGCTCATGGTGACTTTTTTTTTCTTTTTGAGACAGAGTCTTTCTCTGTCACCCAGGCTGGAGTGCAGTGGCACTATCTTGGCTCACTGCAACCTCCACCTCCTGGGTTCAAGCGATTCTCCTGCCTCAGCCTCCCAAGTAGCTGAGATTACAGGCATGTGTCACCATGCCTGGCTGATTTTTTATATTTTTAGTACAGATGGGGTTTCTCCATGTTGACCAGGCTGGTCTCGAACTCCTGTCCTCAAGTGATCCACCCGCCTCGGCCTCCCAAAGTAGTAAGATTACAAGCATGAGCCAATATGCCCAGCCCTCATGGTGACTTTTAATTTGCATTTTCCAAATGACCAATGATGCTGAGCATCTTTTCATGTCTTCTTTGGGCCCATGACTGTTCAAATGTTTTGCCTATTTTTATTGAATTGTTTAACTTGTTTTTATTAAATTGTAAGAACTCTTAATACAATTCAGACCCAAGGCTTTTGTCAGATATAGGTTGTGTAAACTTTTCAGTCTATGGGCATTTTTGTTCACTTTGGTAACAATGTCTTATGAACAGCAATATTTTTTATAAATCTAATTTACTGACATTTCAAACTTTATTTTGAATTTAAGAATTTTTTGCTATCCAGAATATTACTAAGATTTCCACAATATTTTATTCTAAAAGTTTTCTAGTATTAGTTATTACATTTATATCTATAATTAATTTTGTATATGCTGGAAGTAGGTGTCAAGATTTCTTTCTTTTCATATGACTATCTAATCATTTGTTGAAAAATAATTCTCCTATTGAAATTACCTTGGCACTTTTTGATGAAGATAATCAGCTATTAAAAAAAAAAAGTTAGGTTGGCTGAACCAGGCTAAACTCCCACACTTGATGGTATATCCCTGTCCCAAAATGTGAAACATTTTGAAAATATGAAAGCCTTTTGCTCTAGTTTTTAAAATTCTATCAAATAATGATGCCTTTGATTTATTATGCACACTTCTTTAAAATGCGAATGACTTAAGAATTGGGTGGGCTGGAATTCATACAAGCAGTATCAGTTAGATCAAGCTAACAGCCGGGGCCACCTGAACTACTAAAAGGACATTTTTGATTGGGGATTGCGGCAGAGGGGACAAGTAGAGGAAAATTATAAATAGGTGTTTGGTCTTTTAGAATAGAACACTTTTAGGGAAAATTAAGGCCTAGGTTGAGACATTGACAGTAACAAAGGAGAAAGGTGCTCCTAGGGGTAAGGAAAAAGAAACTAGGAGTTAATACAAGGATATTATACAATGTTCCTTATGTTTCGTTTGCCCTTTATTCAGGAAAAAGGGGTACAATTTAAATGTGCTTTATAGAGCCCCTTTATGTCTCCTATTGTCCACTTCCTGAGTTCTCTGATTCCAATGCCTTCTTCTTTCTGCATTTGAGGCCTCCACTCATAGAAAGCTAGTTACTATAGGTGAAGTATTTCAGGGACATATCAGCTAAAAAGGTTCTTACGGGCTCTCAAAGTAATCCAATAGCTGTTTATAACATTATTTTCTTAGGGGTAGTACCTTTTGAGTTAGACTATTTTGCAAAGGAATGCAACTTACTCCTTTGGGCGTGGGTTTGAAGGATTTCCTATGTTATATCATCATAAAATGTCATCTAAATTCCCAAAGATTTAATTATACGCAAACTAATCTTAATGCTAATATATTTTACTGCAATGTCATCTTCAACAATTTGAAATTCTTATTTGGTTAGTATATGCTTTATTAACCTGTGTATTATAATGACTAGAATAATATGTCAAATATAAACTCATTTGTAAAAGTTGTGCATCAGTGGAAGTTTATTCTATCATTGTTATTCCATCAGGAGTGTTATTGCAGGTATATTCTTGGTAGAAAACTGAAAATTAGAGTTTATTTTTAAATGTGAGAATGTCTCATTTCTTCAATTAATTAATTCCATTTGTAGAATACACACATTGGAACACTGTAAATTTATTCCAGTTTGTCACATTCTATACGTAGACAAGCAGTCAAAGCATTTCTAAACAGGAAACTTTAAAACTTCATTCATCTTGCCACATTTTATGATATAGCCCAAAATAGCAGAAGAATACTACAGAATGTTTTCAGAGAATCCATAAATGAGAAATGAACGCACTTTATTGAGGAGATCACTATTTGTTATGCTACATATATTTCTTCATTATCTAACTTTGAGGCATGTGGTAGATATTATATTCCATAGAGTACAAGGCTTTCTTTGCATTATGTAAAAAATTATTTCTGCACCAAAGGACTGCCTCAATGCAGGCTTTTAATAGCAATCTCCTGCCTCATGTAATTCTTCTTCTAATCCTTTTGGCATATGTAAGTATAGATATATTTTTAATTGAGGAAACTTCTTCAAATTCTATTACTAATTATCCTTAAAAAAACCCTCCAAAAGCTCTACTTTTTGTACTGAATGAAACCAAAACTTCTTTGCTGACATTCAAGGCTCCTGCATTACCTCTCATGTGTTCTATGCTATGCACAAACTGAGAAAACTCACTGATTAAATTAAGCTGATTTTACTTTTTTACCTTGTGATCCTCATCTCCTGGCATGTTATAAGATAGAGACACAAATCCACTCACATGGCAGTGCAGACAAGCAGAGAAAACGTGATTATTTACTGTCTATGTCAATGCCTGGGTCTTTTTAACAAGCTTCCAGAACCTAGATATTAGGAAAAACACTTTTTAGCACTTTTGATTACAATTTAGTATGATGACATGACTTTGACAGTCCTTTCAGTTTGGCCTCAATCCCTTTTGCTCACTAATGCTCACAAGTGCTATCTCGACCCAAATTCTCTCAGGAGCACCCAGGGATATGTGGGAAGGAAGACTTACGTGATCATGTGTCATTGTGAATGACTGTATCTTCGTTTCCAAGTCATGCCTTAGGGTGCCCTTGGGATCCCAGAATCTTCAGCTGAATTACAATGCCAAACATTTTCTCTCAAGATCTTGATGACTCAACCCCCAAAATCTCTGGTAGTAAGTTACTCTAATATCTGTCTATGCCCCTCACTCAATGTTCAGCCCAGAGAGTCTACTTGTAGTACTACATTGCCTTTTCTGATGAGTTAACTGCCAGTATCTTTGGCTTCCTTTTACTTTTCTCCACAGAGGGCACAAGAATTTCTGGTAATTTTCTTCAATTCATGGAAAATCATGTGCATTTTACGAGTTAATGTCCGGACCTCTGTCCACTTAACCTCTCCCTGTGCCACTAGGTTTCTTTAATGAGACCTAGTCCCAAGTTGATGTATGGATCATTTATAAGGCAGCCGTCTCCGTTTCTTTTATATGAGATGTGGGTTCTTCTACCTGCAGGAACATCTCCTAATTGCTCATTTTTTATGGCTTGGGGCTGTGAAGCAATGGAGAGGGAGAATGATCAATACCTAGGATTTTGCTCTACTTAGAAGTTATTAAGCTAGCCTGTTACATTACTAATGCAGGTGCTGTCAGAAGACACAAGGTTCTTGGACCAGACACAGAGGAATAATAACACAACAAGCAGCATGAGTATCATGCTGGGACTGGTTTCTCTTGTCACCCAAGTTCTATGGAGGTGGAAAAAAAATGGCCCAGGTAAATACTGAACACACAATGGATTGGATTCACAGCTGATAAAAATTGATCTTGGGGAATCTGCTGCTTTTATATTAAACCTTGTCTTTCTTCTGTAGAAATAGTTCATATCATCTTTCTAGATTTCTTGCAGCCAATATAATGCTGAGAGGTGGCCCAAGTAACTGTATATTAGTGTTTACATTCTTGCCACATCCTGCAAGAATACGCAGGAATATTCATTTCCCATAATGGATTGACTCTCCCAACAGAATGTTCATGTATGCTCCTGCCACTTTGCCTGTCCTACATCTATATTCTGTTCACAATTCCCCAGGCCATAAAGAATGGGATTTTCTTTTCTTAACCTATGCAATATTCTTCTTTCTCAGGAATCCCTTATGCTAAGACTTTGCATCAGATAGGAGTATCTTCCCTATGCCATAGAATGCGTTCTCAGACATCCTTCCATAACTAGTTCTTGAAAACTTCAATAGGAGTGGAGTCAGTGCAGGTTCTTCAGAAAGTAGACACCAGGATGGAATCATAATTGCAAAAGTATGATTGAAAGGAATGCTTATAAAAGATAAAGGAAAGAGTGAGGAGAGGTGGCCAGATAAATACCTTAAGAGCATGATACAGTTCTGACACTTATGAGAGGAACAGAGGTGGCAAAGAATATGTCAGAAGAAGGGTCTCTGACTGTGATGTACCTCAAACAAAGTCTCAAGTATCCAGTAGGGACTTTAGCCTACCCTCTCATGATAAAAATTCTCAATAAATTACGTAGAGAAGGGACTTATCTCAATACAATAAAGGCCATATACACAAAGTCCACAGCTAACATCATACTCAACAGTGAAAACGTCAAACCTTTTCCTCTAAGATCTGGAGCAAGGCAAGAATGCTCACTCTCACCACCTCTATTCAATCTTATACTGGAAATTCTGGATAGAACAATTAGGCAAGTAAAACAAAAGTCATTCATATAAATCAAAAAGGAAGAAGAAAAATTATCTCTGCTTGCAGATCGCATGATCTCATATGTAGAAATCTCTAAAAATCCACAGAAAATGAATTATTAGAAGTAATAAATTCACTAAAGTTATAAGAAATAAAATCAACACACCAAAATCCAGTGTGTTTATATACACCAACAAAAAGCTATATGAAAAAGAAATTAACACAATCACAGTTACGACAGCATCAAAAGGAATATAATAAAATAATGCAAAAAAATACAATTTCGGTTATGCAAGTCGAGTAAATTTTGGAAGTCTGATGTATAATAATGTGACTATAGTTAAAAATATTGTATTTTATATTTAAAATTTGCAAAGAGTAGGTGATAAGTGTTCTCAGCATACACGCACACACACACACACACACACACACACAGGTAACTATGTGAGGTGATAAATATGTTAATAAGCCTGATTGTGGTGCGTATTTTACAATGTATATATATATATATTAAATCATTAAATTGTACACTTTAAATATGTACAATTTTGTTATCTATACTTCAATAAAGTTGGAAAACAAAAAAGAAAGAAAATACTTAGGATTACACATAACCAAGAAGGTGGAAGGCTTGTATACTGAAAACTATAAAGCACTGATAAAAGAAACTGAAGTAGAAACAAATAAATGGAAAGACCTCCAATGCTCATAGATTGGAAGAATTAATACTGTTAAACTATCTATATAAGTCAGAGTAATCTTTAGATTCATTACAAGCCCTATCGAAATCCCAAAGACACTTCTAATGGAAACAGACAAAAACAATCCTAAAATTCATATGAAACCACAAAAGACTCAGAATAGCCAAAGCAATTTTGAATGAGAATAAGGCTGGAGGTGTCACACTTCCAGATTCCAAAATATATGATAAAGCTACAATATTCAAAGCAATATGCTACTGGTATAAAACAGCCATACAGACCAATGGAACAAAATAGAAAGCCCAGAAATAAACTCACTCATGTATGGTCAACTGATTTTCAACAAGGATGCCATGAATGCACAATGGGGAAAGGATGATAGTTTCTTCAATAATTGGTGTTGGGAAAACTACTTATCTATATACAAAAGAACAAAATTAGATTCTTATTTTATACCACACATAAAAATTAACTCAAATGAATTAAAGATTTTAACATAAGATCCGAAGCAGTAAAACTTCTATAAAAAATTGGAAACATCATCTTCACATTGGTCTTGACAATGATGTCTTGGATATGACACCCAAAACACAGGCAACAAAAGCAAAAATAGATAAGTGATACTACATCAAACTTAAAATAGTTTGCACAGTAAAGGAAACAATCAACAGGGTGAAAGGGCAACCTATGGGATGGTAGAAAATTTGTAAAGTGTGTATATAATAAAGAATTAATTTCCAAAATATATAGGGAACTCCTAAAACTCAACAACAACAACAACAAACCAACCTGACTCAAAAAATGGGCAAGGACTTGAATGGACATTTCTCCCAAAGAGACATCCAGATGGCAAACAGGTACATGAGAATTTGCTCAACATCACTAATTATCGCGGAAATGTACTTCAAAACCACAATGAGATATCATCTCACACCTATTAGCATGGCTA
Source organism: Homo sapiens (assembly GCF_000001405.40). NCBI lineage: Eukaryota > Metazoa > Chordata > Mammalia > Primates > Hominidae > Homo > Homo sapiens. The sequence continues at coordinate 83,352,029 of NC_000007.14, read as the reverse complement.
TTATTAAAAAAAAACAAAACAAAAGATAACAAGTGTTGGCAACGTTGTGGAGAAGTTGGAACCTTTGTACACTGATAGTGGGAATATAAAATGGTACAGTCATGACAAAAAGCAGTGTGCAGGTTCCTCAAAAAATTAATAATAGAACAACCATATGATCTAGCCTATACTCCCTTTCCAGATATATTTCCAAGAATATTGAAATCAGAATCTTTAAGGGATATCTACACACCCATATTCATTGCAGCCTTATCCACAATGGCCAAGATATGGAAACAACCTGAATGCCCATCAATGGATGAGACAATATAGAAAACATGTATATATGTATTCAATAGAATATTATTCAGCCTTGGAAAAGAAGGAAATCTTACCATATGTGACAATATCCATGAACCTGGAGGACATTAATGCTAAGTGAAAGAAACCACATGTAGAAGACATATACTACATGATTCCTCTTGTTTGAGGCATCTAAAATGTCAAACATATAGAAGCAGACAATAGAATGGTGGAGCTGAGAAGAGGGGGATATGGGAAGATGTTGTTCAATGGGTATGAAGTTACAGTTAGACTATACAAGATAAGTACTTCCAGAGATCTTCTGTACAACATAATGCCTATAATTAAGAACAAATATTGTGCACTTAGAAATTTTTTAAAATGGTCAATCTCAATCTCATGTCCAGTATTTTTACCACCAAAAAAAACAGGGAGATTAAAAAACTTTTGGAGGCTATGAATTTGTTTATTGCATTGATTGTGGTAATGGTAACATGAATGCATACATATGTCCAAACTCATAAATTGTATACATTACTTATGTGCAGTTTTTATATACCAATTATACCTCTATAAAGTTGGGAGGAGAGAAAAAAGAGAGGCATGGCCAGGATCAAGTATTCTCACCACATCCAATCACAATGTTGCCCTGGGAAAGTCTTAATAGAGTCCATAAGCTGACTCTACTATTTGTAGAGTCCCAAGCAGCTTACTTTCTTGGCTGTCCCAGAAAGTAAAGAAATTACAGTGTTACACATTCTTTTACCCACTCCCTCTAAATATTTTCTTGGGCTCATTTTCTAAGGGAAAAATCTAATTATTCTAACACTCTGTGTTAGTTTTTAACTAGACATAGCCAAAATGTTGAGCTTACCTAAAGCTATGCCCTGCTAGTTAAGAAGATCCTGATATTTGTTTAGCCTGTTGGGTTGTCTGACTGCCCTGACTGTGGTGGCTTCCAGCTCTTTGCCCTAGTAAACAGGTCCCATTTGGCTTACTTTACTTCTATATTGTTTTCCTTTAAGGCAAGGTCCTGGATTATTGCACACCTAGACATAAGCCTTCACAGTCTTAAAAAAGATAGGATTTTGAGAGCTAAATATGATTTAGGGAAAGGTACCACCAATAGCAAAAGTGTAAAGAGGAAAATAAGTACAAGAAATGGATTTTCCCATGGTGACAATTATAGCTAGAATGGTTCATAGAAAAAGTTTATTGAGCAAAGCAAGTATGAATGCAATAGAAACTAAATTATTGACTTTGTGTGAGGAACCTGTACTAGAAGTTGATGCTCATCCCCAATTTTCATTTGCTCTCTCTTCCTTGCAATAATGGAATCATGTCACTTACAGCTGGACACACAGACAATAAGCTAGACTCCCTTGCAGCTAGGTAGAGAGATTTGGTTTCTCTCAGGCTAATTAAAACATAAGCAGAAATTACATGAGGAATATTTCCTACAACAGAAGTTGTTTGTTTCTCCTCTTTCCTTTCACTGCTGGCAGAAGTAGTATGCATTGGATCTGCTGCCTTGGACCCCATCTGGAATTCATGTTGAGAGTATCAAGTGTACCCCATTAGTCCTGGACTCTTCACTTTTAAACTTTTATGTGAGAAAGAAATAAAGTGTTATATTATTTAAGCCTCTGTGTTTTGGGGTTCCATTTTTGCACTAGTTAAATCATGTTCTTCATTAATAAAGAGATTTGAAGACCTCTGAGCACATAGTGAGTGAGAAGCTCAAGACTGCTATGCCAAAAATAATACCATTAATCAAGTGGAGGCTATCATGAAACATGTTCAAACTCTGACACTGATACCAGGCTGAGCCTCACATTTTCTCTGGAACAGTGCTTTCTCTGGCCAATATTATGTTAACATAAACACATCTGGCAGAATCATCTCTTCCTCTTTCTCACCGAGCTTGATTGATGGTATTTTTAAGAAAACTAATGAGCTTTAGAACAGTAATATTGCTTTTAGTGTCAGCCCTCAGTAGCAATGCAAGCAGACAGCCATGTTTGCAATGTGATATTCACCCTGACAAAACACACCTCTTTTATATTCTTACCAGAGTAACTTAGTCCTTCTCCCAGGCATTTCAGTTAAAACATTGCTAATGTTCATATGACCCCTAGAATACAGAAAGGATTTAGTCTTCTAACATAGTACCCATTTGCTCAGGTAAATTGTTTTATTAGGAGTTGTTACTTACAAAATATCAGAAAAGTAGACAAGAAGCAATTCAACTTTCCTAGGAGATTTGGTAGATGAAACCTTTTTCCCAGCAAAGGGGGTTGTATGAAGAGTGCTTTCAGAGGTTCTTTGTCAATGGCTAGCACTTACAATGGACAAGGCCCCATGCATGCAATATCTCATTTAATGTTCCCTCCAACCCCAAGTGGGAGGACTTTTACCACCCATTTTACTGCAGAGAAGTAAGTGGTAGACCTGGGGTTCAAACTCAGTAAGATTGACCTCAGAGCCCCAGGTTTAACCTACATACTATACTCCCTTAACATCTCATGGCTCACATGAGGACCTGAGTAAAATTTTTTCCTTACTTCTTGGTGTGTCAGGGAGTAAGTCTTAAAACCACTGGGTATGAATCCTTCAACTGTAAGCAGTTGACTTTACAAGGCAGAGCAATAATACAATTTTCTTTAGAATGCTACTAGCCGTATCCCTGGGAAGGCAATGGTGAGAAGAAAAATACATACGTAGTACAATCAGGGTTCACTACATGTTTCCAGGATAAAAGTTATGTGCAGTTTCTAAAAACATCTGAGCCTAAACTGTCATTCCTTTAGTTGGTTATAAACCAGGTCAATGTTCTTAATAAAAAATCATGCTAAAGGCAGTTTTAGGATCATGTTCTTTGAAAATTTACTCTTTTAGGCCGGGCACGGTGGCACATGCCTGTAATCCCAGCACTTCGGAGGCTGAGGTGGGTGGATCACCCGAGGTCAGGAGTTCGCAACCAGCCTGGCCAACATGGTAAAACCCCGTCTCTACTAAATACAAAAAAAAATAGCTGGACGTGGTGGCGCATGCCTGTAATCCGAGCTACTTGTGAGGCTGAGACAGGAGAATTGCTTGAAACTAGGAGGCGGAGGTTGCAGTGAGCTGAAATCACACCATTGCGCTCCAGCCTGGGCAACAAGAGCAAAAATCCAATAAAAAAAATTACTCTTTTAAGGTTTAAAAAGAGATATTTCATAGACTTCTTCTAAATATACCATTTTGTCTTTCATTTAGAGATAGATTGAATTTGAAATATAAATATAGCTTAGAGTGACCTGGGCACAGGAATAAGAGCAGCCCTCCTTTTGCTCTGATTTAATAAGTAGGTCTGGCTGTGAATTTTTCACGTGAGTGGGCTCTGTAATGAGCTGGTTATTTCGACAGTTATCATAATAGAAAGGGTATAAACCAGAGACTGCTTTCTAGTAAGTGCCTCGTGACTGTCAGATAAGGGGAGGAGCTGCTTTGCAGAATGTGCCTGTGACTCAGCTCTGTGAAATTCACCAGCATCCTTCTCTGAGATAGACTAAGTGGCAGAATAAGAAATCTGTTAAGGTCTATTAGTGGAGAAGGAGGACTCTGAGAACTGAATCTTCTTATAGAGGTGTCCACAGCTGATCTAGATAAGAATGGGTTGAAGTCCTCATTTTTTATGACCCTTGGCTTAGGACAATTTATTGTCCTGTAGATTGCTATGAGATAACAATTGCTATGAGCTTTACATGTGGCTGACAGCCCAGCGTGATTTCTTTCCGCTCAGCTATAAGAATTTTCTTATGCTTTCTTCATGAGACTAACTATATTGTGCCATAATGTGCCTCATAATATACTTGTTTTATATAGATGTCAATAATTGATATGTTCTTTATTGAGTTGTTTCTCAGTTTCTTGAGTCATATTTGTATATCACATAGATCAGTGTTTTGCACATAGATGTAAATACTGTATAGTTTTTGAATAATGAGGGGAAATGATTTCTTTTTTATTGTATACTTTAAATTCTGGGATACATGTGCAGAATGTGCAGGTTTGTTACATAGGTATACACGTGCCATGGTGGTTTGCTGAACCCATCAACCCATGATCTACACTAGGTGTTTATCCTAATGCTATACCTCCCCTAGCCCCCCGACCCCTGACAGGCCCCGGTGTGTGACGTTCCCCACCCTGTGTCCATGTGTTCTCCTTGTTCAACTCCCACTTAGGAATGAGAACATACGGTGTTTGGTTTTCTGTTTCTGTGTTAGTTTGCTGAGTATGATGGTTTCCAGCTTCATCCATGTCCCTGCAAAGGACATGAACTCATCCTTTTTTATGGCTGCATAGTATTCCATGGTGTATATGTGCCACATTTTCTTTATCCAGTCTATCATTGATGGGCATTTGAATTGGTTCCAAGTCTTTGCTATTGTGAACAGTGCTACAATAAACATACGTGTCCATGTGTCTTTATAGTAGAATGATTTATAAACCTTTGGGTGTATACCCAGTAATGGTATTTGTGGTTCTAGATCCTTGAGGAATCTCCACACTGTCTTCCACAATGGTTGGCTAATTTACACTCCCACCAACCATGTAAAATCATTCCTATTTCTCCACATCCTCTCCAGCATCTATTGTTTCCTGACTTTTTAATGATTGCCATTCTAACTGGCATGAGATGGTACCTCAAAGTGGTTTTGATTTGCATTTCCCTAATTACCAGGGATGGTGAGCTTTTCTTCATATGTTTTTTGGCCACATAAATGTCTTCTTATGAGAAGTGTCTGTTCACATACTTTGCCCACTTTTTGATGAGGTTGGTTTTTTCTTGTAAATTTGTTTAAGTTCCTTGTAGATTCTGGATATTAGCCCTTTGTCAGAAGGATAGATTGCAAAAATTTTCTCCCACTCTGTAAGTTGCCTGTTCACTCTGATGATAGTTTCTCTTGCTGTGCAGAAGCTCTTTAGTTTAATGAGATCACATTTATCAATTTTGACTTTTGTTGTCATTGCTTTTGGTGTTTTAGTCATGAAGTCTTTGCCCATGCCTATGCCCTGAATGGTATTGCCTAGGTTTTCTTCTAGAGAGTTTATGGTTTTAGGTCTTAAGCTTAGGTCTTTAATCCATCTTGAGTTAATTTTTGTAAAAGATGTAAGGAAGGGATCCAGTTTCAGTTTTCTGCATATGGCTAGCCAGTTTTCCCAACAACATTTATTAAATAGGGAATCCTTTCCCCATTTCTTGTTTTTGTCAGGTTTGTCAAAGATCAGATGGTTGTAGATGTGTGGCGTTATTTCTGAGGCCTCTGTTCTGTTCCATCAGTCTATATATCTGTTTTGGTACCAGTACCATTCTGTTTTAGTTACTGTAGCATTGTAGTATAGGTTGAAATCAGGTAGCATGATGCTTTAAGCTTTGTTCTGTTTGCTTAGGATTGTCTTGGCTATACAGTCTCTGTTTTGGTTCCACATGAAATTTAAAGTAGTTTTTTCTAATTCTGTGAAGAAAGTCAATGGTAGCTTGATGGGGATAGCATTGAATATAAAATTACTTTGGGCAGTATGGCCATTTTCACAATATTGGTTTTTCCTATCCATGAGCATGGAATGTTTTTCCATTTGTCCTCTTATTTCCTTGAGCAGTGGCTTGTAGTTCTCCTTGAAGTGGTCCTTCACATTCTTTGTAAGTTTTATTCCTATGTATTTTATTTTCTTCGTAGCAATTGTGAATGGGAGTTCACTCATGATTTGGCTCTCTGTTTGTCTATTATTGGTGTATAGGAATGCTTGTGATTATTGCACATTGATTTTGTATCCTGAGACTTTGCTGAAGTTGCTTATCAGCTTAAGGAGATTTTTGGGCTGAGATGTGCGGTTTTCTAAATATACAATCATGTCATCTGCAACCAGAGACAATTCAATTTCCTCTCTTCCTATTTGATACCCTTTATTTCTTTCTCTTGCCTGATTACCCTGGCTAGAACTTCCAATACTATGCAGAATAGAAGTGGTGAGAGAGGGCATCCTTGTCTTGTGCTAGTTTAAAGGGAATGCTTCCAGTTTTTGCCCATTCACTATGATATTTGCTGTGGGTTTGTCATAAATAACTCTTATTATTTTGAGATATGATCCATCAATACCTTGTTTATTGAGAGTTTTTAGCATGAAAGGGTGTTGAATTTTATCAAAGGCCTTTTCTGCATCTATTAAGATAACCTCGTGGTTTTTGTCATTGGTTCTGTTTATGTGATGGATTATGTTTATTGATTTGCATATGTTGAACCAGCCTTGCATCCCACGGATGAAGCTGACTTGATCATGGTGGATAAGCTTTTTGATGTGCTGCTGGATTTTGTTTGCCAGTATTTTATTGTGGATTTTCGCATCGATGTTCATCAGGGATATTGGCCTGAAATTTTCTTTTTTTGTTGTGTCTCCACCAGGTTTTGATATGAGGATGATCCTGACCTCATAAAATGAGTTAGGAAGGAGTCCCTCATTTTCTATTGCTTGGAATAGTTTCAGAAGGAATGGCACCAGCTCCTCTTTGTACCTCAGGTAGAATTTGGCTATAAATCATCTAGTCCTCAGCTTTTTTTGGTTGGTGGGCTATTAATTACTGCCTCAATTTCAGAACTTATTATTGGTCTATTCAGGGATTCGACTTCTTCCTGGATTAGTCTTGGGAGGGTATATATGTCCAGGAATTTATCCATTTCTTCTAGATTTTCTATTTTATTTGCTTAGAGGTGTTTGTAGTATTATCTGATGGTAGTTTGTATTTCTGTGGGATCAGCGGTGATATCCCCTTTATCATTTTTTATTGTGTCTATTTGATTCTTCTTCCTTTTCTTCTATATTAGTCTGGCTACTGATCTATCTATTTTGTTAATATTTTCAAAAAACAAGCTCCTGGATTCATTGATTTTTTGAAGGAAGTTTTTTGTTTCTATCTCCTTCAGTTCTGCTCTGATCTTAGCTATTTCTTCTCTTCTGCTAGCTTTTGAATTTGTTTTCTCTTGCTTCTCTAGTTCTTTTAATTGTGATGTTAGGGTGTTGATTTTAGATCTTTCCTGCTTTCTTCTGTGGGCATTTAGTGCTATAAATTTCCCTCTACACACTGCTTTAAATGTGTCCTAGAGATTCTGGTATGTTGTGTCATTGTTCTCATTGGTTTCAGAGAACTTATTTCTTTCTGCCTTAATTTTGTTCTTTACCCAGTAGTCATCCAGGAGCAGTTTGTTCAGTTTCCAGGTAGTTGTGCGGTTTTGAGTGAGTTTCTTAATCCTGAGCTCCAATTTGATTGCACTGTTGTCTGAGAGACTGTTATAATTTCCATTCTTTTGCATTTGCTGAGGAGTGTTTTACTTCCTTATATGGTCAAGTTTAGGATAAGTGTGATGTGGTACTGAGAAGAATGTATATTCTGTTGATTTGGGGTGGAGAGTTCTGTAGATGTCTATTAGGTCTGCTTGGTCCAGAGCTGAGTTCAAGTCCTGGATATTGTTGTTAATTTTCTGTCTCATTGATCTGTCTAACACTGACAGTGGGGTGTTAAAGTCTCCCATTATTATTGTGTGGGAGCCTAAGTCTCTTTGTAGGTCTCTAAGAGCCTGCTTTATGAATCTGGGTACTCCTGTATTGGGTTCATATATATTTAGAATAGCTAGCTCTTCTTGTTGCATTGATCACTTTACCATTATGTAATGACCTTCTTTGTCTTTTTTGATCTTTGTTGGTTTAAAGTCTGTTTTATCAGAGACTAGAATTGCAACTCTACTTTTTTTCCTTTCCATTTGCTTGGTAAATCTTCCTCCATCCCTTTATTTTGAGTGTATGTGTGTCTTTGCATGTGAGATGGGTCTCCTGAATACAGCACACCAATGGGTCTTGACTCTTTATCCAATTTGCCAGTCTGTGTCTTTTAACTGGGGCATTTAGCCCATTTACATTTAAGGTTAATATTGTTATGTGTGAATTTGATCCTGTCATTTTGATGCTAGCTAGTTATTTTGCCCTTTTGTTAATGCAGTTTCTTCATAGTGTTGATGGTTTTTACAATTTGGTATGTTTTTGCAGTGGCTGGTACTGGTTTGTCCTTTCCATATTTAGTGCTTCCCTCAGGAGCTCTTGTAAGGCAGGCCTGGTGGTGACAAAAGCTCTCAGCATTTGCTTTTCTGTAAAGGATTTTATTTCTCCATTGCTTCTGAAGCTTAATTTGGCTGGATATGAAATTCTGGGTTGAAAATCTTTTCTTTAAGAATGTTAAATATTGGCCCCCACTCTCTTCTGGCTTGTAGGGTTTCTGTAGAGAGATCCACTGTTAGTCTGATGGGCTTCCCTTTGTGGGTAACCTGACCTTTCTCTCTGGCTTCCCTCAACGTTTTTTCCTTCATTTAAGCCTTGGTGAATCTGACAATTATCTGTCTTGGGGTTACCCTTCTCGAGGAGTATCTTTGTGGTGTTCTCTGTATTTCCTGAATTTGAATGTTGGCCTGTCTTGCTAGGTGGAGGAAGTTCTCCTGGGTAATATCCTAAAGAGTGTTTTCCAGCTAGGTTCCATTCTCCCCATCAATTTCAGGTACACCAATCAAATGAAGGTTTGGTCTTTTCACATAATCCCATATTTCTTGGAGGCTTTGTTTGTTCCTTCTCATTCATTATTTTTCTAATCTTGTCTTCATGCTTTATTTCATTAAGTTGATTCTCAGTCTCTGATATCCTTTCTTCTGCTTGATCAAGTCAGCTATTGATACTTGTGTATGCTTTAAGAAGCTCTCGTGCTGTGTTTTTCAGCTCCATCAGGTCATTTATGTTCTTCTCTAAACTGGTTATTCTAGTTAGCAATTCATCTAACATTTCTTCAAGGTTCTTGGCTTCCTTGGATTAAGTTAGAACATGCTCCTTTAGCCCAGAGGAGTTTGTTATTACCCACCATCTGAAGCCTACTTCTTTCAGTTCTTCAAACTCATTCTCCAAGTTTTGTTCCCTTGCTGGGAAGGAGTTGTGATCTTTTGGAGGAAAAGAGGCGTTCTGGTTTTTGGAATTTTCAGACTTTTTGTGCTGATTTTTCCTCATCTTCGTAGATTTATCTACCTTTGGTCTTTGATGTTGGTGACCTTCAGATGGGGTTTCTGTTTGGACATCCTTTTTGTTGATATTGATGCTATTCCTTTCTGTTTGTTAGTTTTCCTTCCAACAGTTGGGCCCCTCAGCTGCAGGTCTGCTGGAGTTTGGTGAAGGTCCACTTCACACCCTGTTTGCCTGGGTATCACCACCGGAGACTGGAGAATAGCAAAGATTGCTGCCTGTTCCTTCCTCTGGAAGCTTCATCCCAGAGGGGCACCTGCCAGATGTCAGCCAGAGCTCTCCTGTATGAGGTGTCTGTCGGCCCATACTGGGAGGTATCTCCCAGTTAGCAGGCATGGTAGTCAGGCACCCACTTGAGGAGGCAGTCTGTCCCTTAGCAGAGCTTAAGCACTGTGCTGGGAGATCCACTGCTCTCTTCAGAGCCAGCAGGCAGGAACATTTAAGTCTGCTGAATCTATGCTCATAGCCACCCTCTCCCTTAGGTGCTCTGTCGCAGGGAGATGGGAGTTTTATCTATAAGCTCCTGACTGGGGCTGCTGCCTTTCTTTCAGAGATGCCCTGCCCAGAAAGAAGGAATCTAGAGAGGTAGTGTGGCTACAGTGGCTTTGCCGAGCTGCAGTGGGCTTGGCCCAGTTTGAACTTCCTGGAAGCTTTGTTTACACTGTGAGGGGAAAATCCCCTACTCAAGCCTCAGTAATGGCAGATGTCCCTCCCTGCACCAAGCTCGAGCATCCCAGGTCAATTTCCGACTGCCGTGCTGGCAGTGAGAATTTCAAGCCAGTGGATCTTAGCTTACTGGGCTCTGTGGGAGTGGGATCTGCTGAGCTAGACCACTTGGCTCCCAGGCTTCAGCCCCCTTTCCAGGGGAGTGAACGGTTCTGTCTCACTGGCATTCTAGGTGTCACTAGGGTATGAAAATAAACTCCTGCAGCTAGCTCAGCTAGCTTGGTGTCTGCCCAAATGGTCGCCCAGTTTTGTGCTTGTAACCCAGGGCCCTGGTGGCGTAGGAACCCAAGGGAATCTCCTGGTTTGCGGGTTGCGAAGACCATGGGAAAAGCATTGTATCTGGGCTGGAATGCACTGTCCCTCAAGGCATTGTCCCTCACGGCTTCCCTTGGCTAGGTGAGGGAGTTCCCCAGCTCCTTTGCTTCCCAGGTGAGGCAACGCCCCATACTGCTTCAGCTCGCCCTCCATGGGCTGCAACCACTGTCTAACCAGTCCTAATGAGATGAGCTGGGTACCTCAGTTGGAAATGCAGCAATCACCCGCCTTCTCTGTTGATCTCTCTGGCAGCTGCAGACTAGAGCTGTTCCTATTTGACCATCTTGCCAGCCACCTCTGTTTCTTTTTTTAAAGTATTCTGAAGAAGCTTCCCTTTAGTTGTCTTGTGTTATTCTTTTACTTATTGGATAAAGATGGCTTACTTTTAATAAAATTGTTTACATTTGACCATTTATGATCTATAAGAGGGTAATATCTATGGTTCAATTTAAAGTTTCAACAAATCAGGATACTCATAAGTTAACATTATATTCCATTAATGAACATAACATAATATGACCTATTATTATATTTAAATTCTCATATTTAAATTTCTGTGGTATGAACTTTGAAGGATAGTTCCCTGGATACACCTCTCAATATTATAGAGTCTAAACAAATAGATTCTCCTTTCCAAAGAAATTGTTTATCTTGGTTTATGTTCCAGAGTATGAGAAGGTACTAGTTGCCACCTAGATTTATTTGTATATTATCCTGAGAAACTTATAAAAATATATCTAGCTTGAATTCAAGTTGTGATCATAGGGGTTATTTTATTTTTGCTTAGGAGGCTTCATTAATATTAAAATAATTTTATAGCATTATAAAATACAAAATATTTACCCATCCATTTAACAAGCATTTCCTAACTGCCCCAAATAGAAGAGTCACTGTGCAGATACAAACATAAGTGAGATGCTCTATATCCTCCAAAGGAATTTATGAAAAACAGATCAACATCTACATTTTCTCGATTTCTGTCACTTATACTTTTATGTTATATAATGAATCATGCTTTAATGATTAAACCTCCAATTATTTGGTAAAAGAAAGTTATTTTATCTATTATTGTATCTCGCCTTCTAAGTTAACGTATACCTGTGTACTTATGTAATTGTGTAAACATGTGTACAGTATTTTAAGTCTTAAATTGTATCACGATGTTAAATTTTTTTCTCTTTTCTAAGCCTATATCTTAGTGAGAGAATTACTTTAGAAACCAATACTGCTTTTACTCAAGGGAGGCTTTAAGAGATCAAAAATATAAGGGCAAAGCAATTCATGGAGAAATATTAATACTAATTAATGCTAGATCACTATTACTGCCTTTTCTTCAAAGCTGTTTAAAACAGCTATCTAGTAAATTTGGAAACATCACCATTTATAAATAATGGGGTGAAGGATCCTCTGCTGCTCCCAAAGCCTGTGACAAGCCTAATGTGTTTGAGTGGGCAGCAAGTGCACCGTCTACTAAGCAGGTAATTATGGCCACTCAGCATTTAACTAGAATAATGAATGCCCAACAGAGTTAGCAGTTTTGAGGGAGGCTTGTCTGTTTGATCACTGAGGCTTCACCATGCTGAATTCTGTGAAAAGAGATTTTCTAATTACAGGCAGAAGATTTCTAATTCGCTTCCAAGTGTGGAATTTGGAGTTCACATTTCAGAAATGAAAGCCATTTTAACACCCACTCTTCAACACATATATAGATCTGAGTCTGTGACCTGCTATCTTAGTTAAATTCTGCCGAATTTCCTATTTGGTGCTGCCTGAAAAGGATTGTTGTTTTCCAAATATTGGTGGATATTCTGTATATTTTTCACAGTTGATATTTCCTCTCGTCTGGCATTATTTTTTGACCTTTATCAGTTTTTCAAAATGATCACATGGGGCTTTGAGGCAGCCAATATCAGCAACCCAAACAGGGAGGACAGAAATATAAGCATGTGAAAAATACTACCTAATGAAAAGTGGCAGTCCTAGGATTGCTAATTATTCTATATCTATAAAATATAATAGTTGAAGAGCAACAGAAACCAGCTTTGTGTAATTAAAGTAGAAAAATAGTTGATTAGAAGGATATGAAGACCCTCACAGGACTGAAGGGAGAGCTGCAAAACCAGGCTTGAAAGGAAAGGAATTTTGCATGTAGAGAAGGTCTCCACAGCAAGCTCTTGCTCACTCAGGCACCATTGCTGGACTGAATAAATAAATGGCCAGAGGTGGATGTTTTTTCTGCTTTTCCTTTTCTCCTCACTTTTTGACATTTAACTCAAATTTCAAAGTCCTCAGAACGAATCTCACTGGAGGAGCTTAGGTCAATTGGACACATCTTGTTTATATCAATGAAGTGAAATAAAAGACTATGAAAGGAAGAGACGCATGCTGCCCCTTCAGCTTCTGATGGGGAGATCAAAGCATCCTAAGTCATTTTCCTTCCAAGACTATTCACCATGGGTAAGATAAACTTTAAGAAAATCTCAGGGTTCTAGTGGGAAGTAGAAAGAGATACTGGATGGTCCCAAATGACAAATATCTACCACACAGTATTTTTAAACACCATCTGACAGGAATGAAACTCACTTAAATTATATGTAAAATCTAGGCTGTGAAGTTCCGTTCTGTCATCCTGTCAGGTGAGAAACAGTAGTTCGTGATGACTTAGAACACAGACTCTAGAGCCAGACTGAATGGAATCAAATCCCAGCTCTGTAGCTTAGTAACTATAAAACTTTGGCAAATTGTCTAACTTTTCTATACTTCAGTTTCTTTATCTGTGAAAGGAAACTAGTCATAGTACCTACTTCAAAGGCATGCTGTTATGATTATTGTGTTGTTATATGCACAGCAGTTAGTAAACCCTCAACTGGTGTTACTATTAAGGTGAAAGTGTATGGTTAAAGTAGACACCTGGTATCATGAGAGCCAAGATAATGTTTAATTAGGCTGGTTTGATGATCATTGACTGGGTTGTTATTCAATGGGCTGAACACGAAATAACAAGCCGCAGGAGAAGGTAATGTTTTAAAATCAAGGCAGTGACAAAACTCAGGCACCAGAGATACTGGAGGCCAGGGCCAGCTGTGAGAGTGAAACCAGGTGAGCCAGCAGGGACATGAGAAGTGGGACACGTAAGACATAAAGTGAAGGGGCAGGTGAAACCTTGAATTCAGAAGGCATTGCATATGGAAACCAAGAGTTTCACAGAAGCACTGAGAAAAGCAAAGCAGATAAAACAGGTGCATGGATTCAACATCAAGGAAACGTGGTCTGGGTAATACTACTTGTCTCTGCTGAAAACTTCCCATAATTTTACTATCAAAGCTAATGAATCCTAGGTTGCAGGAAGATATAGTGGGCTGAACCACCTGCAGAAAAGGTGATATAAAATAGGACTTCTGAGGGCTAGCATAGAAGAAGCAATGGACACATTGGCTTTATAATCTCTGATATGGTTTGGCTGTATCCCCACCCAAATTTCATCTTCTATTGTAGTTCCCATAATCCTCACATGTCGTGGGAGGGACCAGGTGGAGATCTTTGAATCATGGGGATGATTTCCCCCAACCTGTTCTCGTGATAGTGAGTTCTCATGAGATCTGATGGTTTTATAAGGGGCTTCCTCATTCGCTGGGCACTCATTCTTCTCCTTGCCTCTACCATGTGAAGAAGGAGGTATTTCTTTCCCCTTCTGCCATGATTGTAAGTTTCCTGAGGCCTCCCCAGCCATGCTAAACTGTGAGTCAATTAAACCTCTTTCCTTTATAAATCACCCAGCCTCAGGTACGTCTTTATTAACAGCATGAGAAGGGACTAATACAATCTCCATACCTATCCATCTAAAAATAATAATGATGCTGCTATCACTAATTAATGATAGTGTTAATGATGGATAACATTTACTCTGCATTTGTCATGTCCCTGGCACTGGGCAAAGTGCTTTGTATCTATTATATCACTTAATTCTCACAACAAATCTTTGAGATGATTACTAGGACATAAAGTGTTTAAGGGCATAGAATGTATCTGTTTTCTTTACCACTCTATCCACAACACTTAGAATAGAGCTCAGTATCTAAAAGATATTTCTAAAGTGTTGAATGGTTCCCATTTTTTTAAAAATGAGGCATTGATTGTCCATATAACTTTTTCAAGTCAAATAAAGGTAAATTATAGAGTTGAAATTCAAAGTCAGGGAGCTCGAATCCAGAGCCCACAATCAAACTGTACAGTTTCTATCCAACCCTACCCTGTTCCCAAAGCATCACCCACAGCTACAGGCTTTTACTTCTCCCCTCGCTGCTAACTTACTTTTATTGCCAAAGTAAAACAAACCATAATAAAAAGGAACAGTCATTGAGAAGCTTGTTATATAACAGGATAAGGAGCACACAATACTGACTGCCCCAAATCAAAGTTTTTGGTGCTATTCAAACATGAATACTTTGAACCCATTATGGACAAGGAATTGCACTAAGTGTATCATAAAAATATGAGCAAAAAATGGCTCTGAACTTGAAGGACTCATGTTCTAGTGGGAAAGACAGGTACAAAACCAAACAAATAATCTAAGTGCAGAAATAGCAGCATTGAACATTTTTGAAATCTGAGCTAGTTCTAGCAGTAGTGAAACTCATTATGTCTGGGGCACGAGGACCTGTACAGAAGTGCTAGGAGGGAGACAAGAAAGGTAGTTGATAAGACACAAGAAGAAGGGTTTTAAACATTATGCCAAGGATATCGTACTTTATTTTATCAAAAATGAAGAGACAGCAGGATTAATGTTTTAAAAAAGAACTCTGGTGATTTGAATGAACTGAAGAAAGATGGGCAAGAGGAGTCTCATTTAGTAATGAAGGACATAGACGATTAGGGCCTGAAAGAAGTTTGTAGCAGTGGGATCCAAGCCAAATCAACAGGATTAAGTGGCTGATTGAAGTTCAGCCTGATGGACAGCTAGAATCAAATATGCCTCTGAAGTTTCCCATTGGGGAAAATGGGTAGACGGTAACACTTTTAATCCCAAGAACAGAAATAAATAGGAAAAGCAGATTTGGCCATGGTAGGGAAAACAGTCTAATATAAATATATTATACAAAATATCTGAGTAATTGTTTTAATATGAAGAAAGCAGAGAGGCATATATAATGATGTAAAAATTCCTATTTTTTCTCATAGTACTATATGTTAAAAGTAATCCAATTATTTCAGCACTGTTTTTTTTGCTATTTTTCTAGGAACTTAGCTTTAGTGGTGTAAGAATTTAGTGTAGTTTATTTAAGGTGCTTTAATACAAAAAATATTTCTTTATTTGGATGCTGTTTTAATCTTTTGGAACTAGTTATAGACCTGCTCATAATCTGCCAGGGATAGTTTGGCTTTACAGTACTTAAGATTAAGTTAGTGGACAGGTCTCATTTTGATACATCTTTGAGAAGATAATTTTCTTGTGTGAAGCATCATTTGCAAAGTCTTCTTTATAACATTTTACTTGAAAGAGAGTAGTCCTAGGACAGAGGACAATTTATCTAAATGCAGGATCAATCAGGAAAAATGCAAGAAATGTAGGTGTTCTGAGGACATAACTGTTAGACGATTGGGAATAGATTTGGTAGAATGAACAAGGGCCACTGAAACCTACCTATAGTTGGCTGAGGCTTCACAGTGTGATAGCTGACTAGCCCCATTAGGATATTTACATTTGGAAGCATCTTACTTCATTTCATTGCTTAGCCAACAAGAGATTTTTAAAAGTGTATGTATCTCTAGATCCAGAGTTAGATACTTTAAATTTGAGAGAAAAAATATATTTTTGTTTAAGATGTAGGGAATATAGGCCTTAATATAGCTATCACAGAATTTCAGTTGTTTTTGTTGTTTTCGTAGCTCAAAGCTTTTGATTTCTTTGCTATTTTATTACTATTGAACAGACCTATTAGAGGCTTTTGTTTCTTAAAAGGTGTAATTAAGAGAGCTATTGAGGAAAAGTTACATACATTGAATTGTTATATTTCTTTATGGTAGTATTTAATGAAGAGAAAATCAATTTTCAGATTTTTAAAACAGCATTAAATTTAAATATCTAATCTAAGGGACTGCAAAAAGTAGATCATGACCTATCAGTAAATATTGAAACCTGAAAGACTGTCTATGACCACAGCCACCACTTGCCCCTCATTCACCTCCCCCTTTTCTGTGGTTTTCTGGTATCCCCTCTAGAGATAGATGAACATATGATCATGCTATCTATTTGTCTTAATGGTCATGATTTTGCTCTAAAGGCAGTTTCTTAAAATAAATTAGTTTTCTTTTCATTTAGTTAAATTTCTCTTTTTATAGATGATAAATTGGGGTGAATTAAGAAAGTTAATGGTAGTCATAAAGGAGAATGAAGATGAAGAGAATCATTTTAATAAGTTAGAAGCTTCTCTTTGCCTCTTTGGAACTTTCGAACGCTTGGTTAATAAATCCCTTTTTTTTTTACACACCAAAATAACATAGGATTTATGAATATGACCATAGAATCTGCTCATTGATATATCAAAATCTCTGCTCCCCCAAATTGTTCCTACTTCAAATGGGTTTGGTTGCTCGCTACTCTTTTAAAGCAATTTATAAAGGTTTTAGTGAAATTGTCATCTTCACGACTACTTGCTTTCAAACATTAAAGTCTCTCACGTAGAAAACCTTTTGAAAAATGAGTGTAGAAAGGCAGACGCCTGTTCCTGAAGGGAACAAAACTACCACTTTTCTGTGGGGCATGCTGCAAGTACTAAATATAAGTTGGCTATTTATGTCTGATTCCTGATTAAAATTCACAACAACCAACCTTAAATTTAGTTTACATTCCTTAATTGTCACTAGACCATGCCAACTATTATTAACAGACTTAAATTACATTGATTGGTATGGTATTTAAGTGGCAATTTAGATTAGTTATGATTCAAGTTCTTGCAAAAAAAATAGTCTTAAAATCATTTTTACCCAGTAGTAGTCTACAAAAAAGTTCATGAGAAATAAAAAAACTTTATGGAGCATTTCCTGAAAAACCTTCAGTTTCTGTGTTTTTCTGGATGGCCTAAAATCTGCTCCTAAATCTAAAGCAGCATAAGTTACATAACAGACGTTTATCCAGTAACCCCACTCTTTATAACTACCCTTACTGAATTACAGTTGCCATCCTACACTTGACTTGTATTGAGGTCCTGTATTAAGAATCTGTATTATGAGGTGCCTTTTATAAAACTTGTTCCTGAATTGACTGTAAGGCTATTGAGGATATATTTTGTTACACAGTTTCCTCCTTGTGAGAATTGTCAGAAGAAATTAATTTTAATTTTTAATATCATGAGTTGCTGAGGTTTTTGTAAATAATCAATTTATCTTACGGATTCTACAAATTGGGTAACTCAGAAAGTTTCAACCTAGATGTCACAATCACCAAGAGAAACTTCCAAAATGCAGAATTTCAGATCTTTCCTCAGACCTACTGAATCAGAACATGGAGGATATAGGTCCTAAAAACTTGTGTTTTTCATGAAGCTCCCCAGGTAATTGTCTATGATCGGACATTAAAACTCAGTGAATTAACTGATCAAATTCCCCAATTTCCACTTCCAGTTAGAAAGCTTAAGAGCCAAAATTGTGGTTTACCTTTAATGAGTCTATATAATTTTGTATTATACATATATTTTTTAAATTGACCATAAAACTATTTAAAAATGTAATCTATCTGGATTTATTTTTCTTCATTTTAGTATTAATTCCTACTTTATATACTCGTGTTTGACAAATTTTTGCTTACCAACTTTAATATTTAAGTGAGGTAAAATTATATATCATAGTATACACAGATTTTAAGTATCACTTTGATAAATATTGATAAATTACATACAGTGTAATGACCATCCAAATCCAGAAAAAATTAATAAACCTAGAAAGTTGCCTAATGTTGCTTTCTAGTTGTTTCTCCCTCATCTATTCTCTGATTATAGCAACAAATGATATAGCAACAAGTCGCTATGATTAATTTAGCCTGTTCTAGAACTTTGAATAACGGAATAATATAATATATACCCTTTTGTAACTGATTTCTTTGACTGAAAAAAAGTTTTTAAAATTTACTCATGTTGCTGGATCTATATTATTAGTTCATAACTTCTTATAGCCAAATATAATAGTAATCCATTTTGAAGCATTTATCAAAATGTATTTATCATTTACCTGATGACAGACATTTGTGTTGTTTCACGTTTGGGCTCTTATGAGTAAATATTTCTGAATATTTTTGTGTAAGACTTTTATGGACATATGTTTGATTTCTCTTGGGAAAATCCTAGGTGTATAATTGTTGGGTTACAGAGCAGCTTTATCTTTAACATTTTAGAAACTGCTTTTCTGAAGTGGGTGCATCATTTTACACTGTCATCAGCAAAGTATGAAAATTCCACTTGATCAACAACATTGCCAAGATTTGAAACTTTTCAGTCTTTCTAACATTTTGGCCATTCTCATGGTAAATAGCAGTAACTCACTGTGGTTTAAGTTTGCATTTCCCTGATATTTAAGGATGCTGAGAACATCTTCATGCATTTGGCCATTTGTATACACTCCTCAGTAAAGTTTCTTTTCAAATTTAAATTTCTATCTTTATTGACTTGTTTGATTTTATATTATTTAGTTATAGGAATTTTTCCTTTACTATGTTTTGAATATAAGTCTTTCTTCAGATATGTGTCTTACAAATATTTTCTTCCAGCTTATGGCTTGAGTTTTCATTTTTCAATGACATCATTTGAAGAGCAGAAGTTATTAATTTTGCGGAAGTCAATTTTAACAAGTTTTTCTTTTATTCTTAGTGCTTTTGTTGTCCTGTCAAAGAAATCTTTTCCTGTGCTGTTTGCAGAGATATTCCTCTACATTTTGTTCCAGAAGCTTTATGGTTTTAATTTGAACATTTATGTATGTGTTCTATCATGAGCTAATGTTTGTGTAAGTGTGAGACAGGATTCAATTTCAAAATTTTCTCTACAAATATACAATTATTCCAACACCATTTGTTGAAAGATGATCTCTTCCTCATCAAGTAACCTCAGTACCTTTGTGAAACAATAGTTTATATATATATATAACATATATAAAATATTTATTATAACATATATATGGTATATGTACATATGTATTAGGGTTTAGTCGTGGACAATCTATTTTCTTTTCAATTTATATATTTATTTATCATTATGACAATTCCATATCATTGACATACATTTTAGAATCAGTCACTCAAATTCTCCACAAAGTTTGCTGGGATTTTGTAAATCTATAGATCAAATAGAAGAGAACTGGCATCTTAATAATACTGAGTCTTTAAATCTATACATGGGGCGTATTTCTCCATTTATTTGAGTCAAATGTTTTCCAAAGTGGCTGTAGCATTTTACATTCTCATCAGCAAAGTGTGATTTATTTTCAAATGTTGAACTCAACTTACATTACTGATGATATAATCATCAGTAATCACTACTTTCTGATGATGTACTGTCCTTTGGAATATTCTGGATTTACTTTGTAAACATTTTGCTGCAGATTTTTTAGTACGTTCATGAGTGAGAAATGATTTGTAATTTTTTAAAAACTTTTTGATGCTCTTATTAAGCCTTGCTCCTCCAAGGTTTTTTTTTATTTTACTTTACAGCTACCTCTTCAGTCCCCAAAAGATATGGAAAGCTGATCATGTCACTGTTGTGTTTTAGCAGAGTATATATGTCTCCTAGGGATGTTGTGAAAAAAATTACCACAAACTTAAACTTGGTGGCTTAAAATAACAGAAATGTATTCTCTCACAGTTTGGAGGCCAGAAGTCCGATATCAAGGTATCCTCAGGGCTGCATTCCCTCTGAAGCCTCTAGAGGAGAGTCCTTTCCTGACCTTTCCAAGTTTTGGTGGCTCTAGGCATTCCTTAACTTGCAGCTGCATAATTTCAAATCTCTGCCTCCACCTTCATGTGGCCTTTTCTGTGTCTGTATCTTCTCTTCTGTATCTCATAAGGATACCTGTTACTGGATTGAGGTCACACCCAGATAATCTACGATGATTTCATCTCAAAATCCTTAATGTAATTATATCTGAAATAAATTTTTCTTCTGAATAAAATTACATTCAAAAGTTGTGGAGGTTAGGAAATGAACATACGTTTTGGAGGAAGTGTCTTAGTCCATTTATGCAGCTATAACAAAACAGCCAGGGTAATTCATAAACATCAGAAATTTATTGCTCACAATTCTGAAGGCTGAGAAGTCCACATTCAAGATGCCAGCAGATTTGGTGTCTGATAAAGGATCTCTTCTTCATAGAGGGCAGCTTCTAGCTGTGTCCTCACTTGATTGAAGGGGAGAGCAAGCTCTTTCAGGCCTGTTTTAGAATGGTACTAACCACATTCATGAGGGTAGAGCCCTTATGACCCAAGTACCTTCTAAATATCACACCATTTAATACAGTTACGTTGGGTATTAGGCTTCAACATATTAATCAGAGTGCAGGGTAGGGGGAAATAAACATTCAGACAATAGCAGGGGGCCACCATTGAACCCACCACACAGGGTTTAAATATTTTTGTGTGTTTTAAAAAAGAGCTCTTTATGTATGTTCAGTTTTAAGCCCCCAAACTAGATAATGTACATATTTTCTGTACTGGAAGAAATATAATTCATATACAGCAGGGGTAAATCACTTAACATACTAGTTTAGGTCATCTAAAAAAGAGGAAGCCAAGATGGAATTAGACATGAAGGACAAGAAGAGGCAGTCAGAAAAGATGGGACAGTCCTCAGACTATGTATAATACAGTTCTGATTCCTGTGAAGAAATAAGGAGGGAGAGTTGGATAGGTCATCTCAGATTGCAAGTAGCTCTAAAAAGGTCTGGTCCAGTTTCATGGGGAGTCTTTGAGCCAAAATTGTGCATCAGAAAATTATACACTTCATGGCCTTTTTTAGTCATTGGTGAGATCAGCCCACAGGAAAGTGAGAGGATAGAGAAAACAGGGTTGTGGAAAGATCAGAGCTCAAGAGCTCAGGCTACCAGTCCAATATAGTAATACCAGTCTTCTGCAGGGGAGACCTGAGTGGAGCATTATCATGGCTGCCAAACTCAATAAGTGTGAAGTTAAAATTTACTTTCACTTTTGGGCCCCCAGTGATGGAAATTACATCTAAATATTGATTTCTGTCCATCCACTCCTGACCTCTTTACCCAACCTGAAATGGTCTTTAGGGGTTTTTATTTTGTATATAAAACGTATTTTTTCCCAAGGGAACAGGATGACTCCTAAGATGATAAAATATCTATTAATTTATAATCTATTTATAAACTAAAATAGGCCTTTTTTTAAATACACAACTGGATCTAGCGCTGAATTAGTTAACGGTGCCCCCCCTTAGAGTTTTTTGAATGTATTTTATGCAAAACTGGGGATTAGACTATTATAATATGCCATTTTATTTCCTTTTGTCATCTTTATATCCTTTTCCAAACCAGAAAAAAAAAATGGAGAGATCTAATTTGTTAGGTCACTTTCCATGCCCATATGATATTGTGTACCTGTGAATGTTGCCATTCTCACCTGAACAACCGCCTTGACACTGGCAGGCTTGTGTCCTCCAAAGGCCAGTGAGGGCAGTGAAATGAGTCAAGATGACCTTTAAACTCAGGTGGACCAAATATTTAATTTCTTCCTTAGCCACTGTGGCCACTTTGTGGTAGAAGGAACCAAATTCTGTAGGTCTCACCTCTGGTTTGGAGCACCCTATTGAAGTCTCCCTTTTCCTCCATGCTGTGTAATTTTATGGCAGAATCTCTGCTGTGGTTTGAGCTTCATATGATTGTCATAAAAATGTACTGTATTTCTTCCTCTACCTGTTTACTGTAAAATACATCTCTTATTACCCCTTTTTCTCTATCTTATCAGTGGAAAATTGGGTGGAAATTTGTAAGAATGCATGATGTAAGCTGCTAGAGTTTTCTGAAGCTAAATATTTAATGTTTCTGGGATTTAGATACTTGCTCCTCCCAGTGAGGGTTAGATGTCTCTTTTATAACTTTCTAGCCTAACAAGCTTTAGTACATTGTAGTAATTTGCATAATGCCACATGCATTATTAATAACCATTTTATTAATTCAAAAGTACAATTTATATGTTTAACTAAACAAGCTAGCAGAATTTGAGAAAAAAACTATATATAAACATATTTTTAAGGAAGGTCTAATATGTGCCAGGAACTTTGGAAAGTACTTTGTGAAATAAGATAGAGTTATTGCCCCTAGATGCTACAGTCTATCCTGGATATAGACAAGTCATTACAGTTGCAACATGAATAGAATGTACATGCATGTATACATGCCTATCGCATATATGCCATGTCATTTACATAATTTCTTTCTGGGAAATCTATGGTTATGACATCCGAATAATAATGTGATGATCAGTACAAGTGTATTGGGAACATATGGGAAGAAAGCTATGCCAAAATAAAAGACTAACAAACTGAAGTTTATGTTATATTGAAGTGTGTATACCATTTGCTGTGGCTAGAATGCAGCACGTAATAGCAAAAACAAAGCAAAACAACAACAATGAAAAAGCAGGAGTTGAGATTGAAAAAGTCAGCTGGGGCCAGGTGGCAAAATGGCACATTCTACAGACAATAGGTGCCACCAGAGATTCCAAAACAATGGCAAGGAAGACCTCAGAATACAGCAGAATACTGAAAACTAAGATTCTGACAATTCTAAGGACATTTCCTGAGGAAACTATTGTAAAAGAAACAAAATAATGCAACAAGAAACTGGGGATCTCTGACAGTTTCACTAGTAGAGAAAATCCATCTAAACCAGTTCTGATGCCATTTATAGGTGAAATTTCCCCAGCAGGTGTCTCGGATGTGAGATTTAGTTTGGCTTTTCCAGTGTGGACAGTCAAATATGACCATGGGGAAGGAAGTATCCTATATAAAGCTCCATTCTATGACCCAGAGAGAGAGAAATATTCATAGCTAATTCTGAGTCTTCAAAATTCTGTTTTGCATTTTATTTAAGGAAGATACAGATGGTTCAATGATCTCTCCTCTGTAGTAAATTTAGACCCTTTATGATGTACACGTTAGTCAGAAATCACTTTTTGGAATCCTTTTTAAGATTCCCTTGCCTTTCGGCAATGATTTCCAGCATTTTCTCAACATCTCCCCTGCCCACCTGCTCAATAACATTTACTTGATTTACTCATTTTGCAACCTGCCTTTGATTGTTGTTGTTGTTGTTAGTGCCATTGTGCACATATAAAGCAAACATGCACACACTCTTCTCCAAGAACTCAACACATTTGGTCTTGACAAACTGTGATCCCATATTTCATTTTTAGCAGATACCTATTTCTGACAAGTATTTAAAAATACATTTTTACGTCAGTAAAAACTCAGAGTCATGCTGACAAAGTTGTTCAACCTGAGAAAATAAAACACGCCTATTTCCTACCACTGACTGATTGATTTAATCTGCACTCATCACAAGAGGAAAACAAAATGGCTAGGTGGATGCCTGATGAGAGAGCTATTTCTAGCACAGGCAGCAGCTTTGATATTGAAAATCTGGTATCATAACAGGTACAGCAGCTTTTTTGCTCCCTAGATTACCAGCCCCTTCCAAGAATTTTATGATACATAGGTTCCTTTTGTGGATTTATACCTTTCATATCTTTTCACTCCCAAAATGTTATAGGCTATAGCAAAGAGAAAGAAATTAGAGGAATCATGCTCCGTACATAGGTAATCAGTCATAGTTATTGAATGGAATGTAGAAAACTTTTCTTTTTGAATAAGAACATTTATTTATAAGATATGTGATAAAGAAATCTGTTGGTAGATTTAAATGTATTGAAACACTTACAGACTTTAATGTGTATTTGACATTTTTATTCTAAACGCTTTTATCATTCCCATCAACAAAAAGATCATACTGAACCATTTGTTTTCTACCACAAGCCAGGCAATCACAGGAGGCATTATTTCTGCTATGTTTGCTATAAGGCACTAAATTTTATTAAAGTAGATTGAATTCTTCTTAAGGTATTTTTCCTGTTAATATTGAGTTATTTCTATATTTATGCCATCTAGAGAAATACTATTGAAAAATGAAAATTATACTTAAAGTATCTTGCTTATTTTATATTTATAGTTATGAAGATTTTTTTATATTTTCCACGGATCTTTAATTTAAAAAAATATGTTACTATGTAAATATTTGAATCTATCATATGATATAGTCTTCACAGATCAATCAATAGAAGATTTAAGCTGTGTCAACTTTTTCTTCCTTCCTTCACTATGTGCTACTTGTTCTCTACAGATGAACAGTGTGGTTTCTCTGCCCTGTCTGTCTTCCAGTTGGGTTCGGATGATGGTGGGCAAAAAAAGGAGATCAGAGAAAGGGAACTGTGAGATTCAGGGCAGGTATTCTCTTTCCTTTGCCTATCTTGTTGTGATTCTGAAAGTTCCTCATCAGCCACAGGTCTAGCCATGTGGTGCCTCTTTCACAGCTCCAGCTCTTACATGTCTTACACCACATCACTCCTTATAACTCTTCTCTTGACATTTCAGGCTTAGCAGTAGTGATGGCTTCTAGTCTCACTGCCTGCTTATGATTTCCTTAACCCTTCACATGCCTCCGAAAATAGTTCATTAACTGAATGCTCTCCAGTAGAATAGCTTTAAGTGTTCCTTCTCTCTTCTAACCAGGATACTGCTGAAAACAGAATCAGAAGTGGCCCCAGGAAACTTACAAGCCCTGTGATAAGAATTCTAGTACTGGGTTGATCATATACTTAATGGACATATGAATAACCATCTTCCTGGGAAAGATGGAACACTGATAATTTATAGTAGTCAGTGGGCATCACAACTATTTAATTTATGAAGAAGTGGAGTGCTTCTTTCTAACAGCAAGGTGTGCAAAATGAAGATGTTCAGCCCTTAGTTGCCATGGCAAAGGTGGTGATTGCAAAGAAGGGTTGGATAACAACTACTCATTACACTGGGAATGTTACAAAAAGAAAACTACAAGGTTAGGACTTTGGCCTCTCAATTCAAAGCACAGGTAGAAAGCCAGACAAACTCTCTGGTGTCCAAGAGTTTTGTAATTTGCGTGACTCAGAACAGATAAGTTTGAAGATCCTGTGCCCAAACCTGACTGTGTGGGCTGCATTGTTGTAATACCAGCTAAATATGCAACCCCAACACGTCTCTTGTGCTAAAGCAGCACATCTCAGGGTATGCTCTTGGGACCACTGGAGGTTCCTAAGATATTTCATAAGGTCCCTGAGGTCAAAATTATTTTTAAAATAAAAACAGTAAGCTACATAGATGAAATAAAGTCATTGTTCTAGTAGCGAATGAGATGTGTGTTGGTGCATTCTTATATATCAATATTTTCTGATTTCAATTTGAAATATTAAATATGCAATATGTATTCTACAGTAACAAAAGATCTTTGAGGTTATCAATAGCTTTTAAAAAGGTAAAGACCATGAGACAAGGAGTTTGAGAATTATTGTGCTAACATGAGGGCACTAGTTGGTAAGGAGTGATGTGATGTAAGACATGTGATGAGGCCATTTGGACAGATTTAGATGCCTCTGAGAATTGAAATATTCAAACTTCCTTAATGCTTAGTTGCTAGTAGAATCCATTCCTCCCCCAGTAGCTGAGGAAACTGGCATTCCAAAGAAAAAAAAAAAAACCTTCTATTGACTATACCTAAAGAACTTATCTCAAGAGAATAACTATTCTCAACAACAACTTTTTTCTCAGACATGTACACTCATATTTTCTTGAGGCATATTCCAAAGGTTAGATTCTGGCATAGTTGAGAAAAACTAAAGTGAAGTTTCCTTCAGGAAGAGAAAGTGATTACATGAAAGATTCAGCATCTTGCTAAACAGCATCATTAAAGAGGACTAAAAAGCATGTACAGGAATATAGTCTGAGGATATAAAGCCAAGAAGAATAAAATATAAGCGGGATCAGGCTAAATGTCTTAATATGGATATGTTCATCCAGAATTGAAGAATTAGAGTGTTAGCTAGGATGCTTAGGAGTGGGCTTAAATGTTGAGTTAGTTATTTGAAGCTTGTTCATAGCAGTGTCTAGAATCAATGAAATTAAAATTATAGAACAACCCCAGTAAACTGGAAAAAGGAGACTAACATTTAGGGCAATAGGACTGATGAAGTGGATCCATTGCATTCAGCTTGTTCAGCCGCACGCTAACCGTGTCCACTGGGCGGACTCAAAGAACCCTCTTTGACGCATGTAGAACTTCATATAGTGAGTGGAACCCTAGCATCCAGGAAAGCTCTGAGTTGTCTGTCCTCTGTATACTGGATATGAAAGGAGATCACCATGAAATTGGTTTCCCTGGTAAAAATGAGAATAATAGCCAATGGTCAAGGTCAAAGAGTATACTTGGTCTAAACAATTAATGATATACCCCTTCATCAAGGCTCATCTGCCTACTAATGCTGGATGTTCAATTTGATTTCAGTAAAGGCTAGTGGTGGGCCTCTGATATGGCACCATTCCCTAGGTGACCCACAGCTATCTAGTATCTGGTTGATTACACTGGACTACTTCCATCAAAGAGAAGGCAGGAGTTTAAGGTCATTGGGAATATATGTGCATTCTTTATGCCAATTTGCTATTCCTGACTGAGATTCTTCCTCCAGCACCATCATTTGAGGACTTCCAGAATGATTTAATCATCACCATGGAATCCTCTACAACATATCCTCCAAACAAGAATCTTAGTTTACGTTAAAACAAGTGCACCCATGAGGTCAGGCTTATGGAATCTCTAATTTTACTAAGTGCTCCATTACCTGGAAACATCTTACTCAACGGACCAGTGGAAGTGTCTACTGGACTCATTAATGGCCCCAGCCATGGGATAATATCTTGTGAGATTGGATTGTTGATGTATAGGATATATTGATAGTTAAACTATTAATAGCAAATATATGGTGCTGCATATTAAGAATACTTGGGTCTGGAACCAATTGCTATTACCTTTGATAACTTGCAACATTCTTCTTTTGGAGACAAAGAAGACATCAGCCAGACAACTAAGGGCAGGAGGAGTGAATGAGTTTGGCACCTTAGTTCTCCCCTTTCTTTTGTTGCCTCATTGATATTTTGGTAGCTGTTGTGTTGTTCTGTGGGGACAGATTAAATCAGGCAGGCCCTAGTCCCTGATTTCAGTTCTCACTGAGCTCTTAAAACACTATACCTTCCCTTTGCCATTTCAAGGCTAAAAATGATTACAGCTCCTCCAGCTTTCTCCTGTCAATAGTCCTTTGAATTTTACCCCTTTTTAGTTCTCAGAACTCTTTCCATATTTCTATAGATAACCTATAAGATTAATTCAATTTTGTTAAATTATTTGAGTGTTCCATCTGTTTCTTTTCCCCTATTACCCTAATTAATAGAATAAGGGACTATTTCAGGTACTTTGTATGTATAATTTGGAATCACATGTATAACACATCTTCAATGAACTTAAATATAATGGAAATAAGACAATGTTATACATGAAGTGATAATAAAATACTTAAAAATAATTATTTAACAGATAATTATGAATATGTAGAATAAGGCAGAAATTATTTACTGTTTTAGAATCACAGAAATCTACACAGCAAACATTTGAATAAGACATGGAAATATTATTCCAATTTATACTGTGGATTTACACTGTGGTGATGCAGGTGTAGGGGTGAGGAATCCTCTAGATGTGACTGAAGGCTTGGAGAAGCATTAACTAGGCACATGGTTTGGACCAGCTTGAGAAGTTAAACACTAGTGTGAAATGCATGCGAATTTAAATAATATGAACTTTAATATATGTTAAGAATAATGCTAACCAAGGTAATGAAGAAAGAAACTGATACTTTTATATTCATTACCCTTCACCCTTAGACGTTCATTTTGTGAAACCCTATCAAGAAAAATATATATACTGTTGACTGTTTGTATGCAAGGGTTCCACATCTGTGGATTCAACTAAATGTTGATCAAAAGTATTCAGGAAAAAAAAATTCCACAACGTTCCAAAGAGCAAAGCTTGAATATTCTCTGTGCCATGTACTGCACTGAATCTAGGCAAATAGGATATGTAGATGTTGTATTAGGTATCCTAAATAATCTAGAGAAAATTTAAAGTATATGGAAGACTGCATTTGTTATATGCAGAATTATATCAGAATTCATATAATGGACTTGGGTATCCATGGATTTTAGTATCCTCTGA
Source organism: Homo sapiens (assembly GCF_000001405.40). NCBI lineage: Eukaryota > Metazoa > Chordata > Mammalia > Primates > Hominidae > Homo > Homo sapiens. Next base: position 83,323,259 of record NC_000007.14, on the reverse strand, counting down.
AGTCCTAGAATCAATCCCCCATGTATATCATGGGACGACTGTACACCTTCATTTCACCCTTTACAAATTGGCAAGGCATTTTGGAAACTATCTTGTCCAACACCATCATTTTTTATCATATGTTTTTACTGCCAAAAGTGCTGAGAACAATTTTAACTGCTGACTTATCCATTTGTACAGAATAATGACGAAATATTTTTGATGGATTTCTTAATCCTTTTTTATAATATTCTGTGAAAATATTTAAATTTATCCACCTCTATAATCCAGGCACCAAAATATGAAATACAGTATTATTGTGTAATATGTGAGGATTTTTTTCTAAGTAAGAAAAATATACATAAAAATACAGAGTCATGTTGCTCATAAAAACCAAATGCTAAATTATTATTGCTGGGTGGTTTTCCAAGAATTTATGAAAAGAGATAATAAGAAATTGCCTTGAACTCTAATTTTTTTACTACTGTAAACTCCTCAGGCAGTAATAAAAAGTATTTTCCCCAACTCTCTCCAGCCCAAAGATTGCCAGGTCTTTCTGTTCTTAAAGTCCAAGTATTACTTACTTCAGGAAATGGCTTTGGTGCTTCTAGGACCTGTGTCTGTCTGTGTGAGAGATTAACATTTTCATCTTTTAGAGAACCAGCAAGGTCTATTATTTTAGAAAGGGAAAATAAAACTTTGCGCTTAAGGAAATTAGGGGGAAATTAGAGTAGCCTGTGGTTATTCCCCAAGAACTAAGAAGAAATACAAATTTGTAAGACCTGGGAGAGAGATGAGGAAGTGTAGACACCTCCACTCCACTCTTACCTAGTGCTGTGGAAATGAGAAGATCTCAGAGACAAGAGCAGGGCAGTAAAGAGAAAGACCTTGTGAACCGAGGTATGGGCTTCAGGATCGATGGTAGGAACAGGTAAAACCACTAAGGAATGGCCTAGTAAGTCTATACTAAATAAGAATTAGCAAGAGTGTTGAACTGTCTTGTTATATGTCAGTCTTACAGAAAATTTCAAAATTTCAAATGGTAAATTTTGTAGCCCCTTGGACACAGTATTTTCATCAGGCAATCCAGATAAGTATTCAACAGAAAACACACAAAAATATGAAAAGTCAAAAGGCAACAAGATTCTTATGTTCACACAAAAGATACATTTTTACTATTTTCTTGAGCAGTAAAATGGCCCCATACTAAATCTTTTTTGTTTGTTTGTTTTTGAGACACAGTCTCACTTTGTTGCCCAGGCTGGAGTGAGGTGATGCAATCTTGGCTCACTGCAACCTCCATCTCCCAGGTTCAAGTGATTCTCCTGCCTCAGCCTCCAGAGTAGCTGTGATTACAAACGTGTGCACCACCACGCCCAGCTAATTTTGGTGTTTTTAGTAGAGACGGGGTCTCACCATCTGGCGAGGTGATCTAACCTCAGGTGATCCACCCGCCTTGGCCTCCCAAAGTGATGGGATTACAGGTGTGAGCCACCACGCCCAGCTTCATACTAAATCTTTATAAAGATTATGCTGGTTAAATATATTTCCAGATAATAAATAATATAACAAATATTTTTAAAACATCTTCCATTTACAAAAATTTCAAGTCTTGTGATGATTTAAAGAATAAACACTGTACAATAATACAGCTCTAGGTCTGTGCCTGAAGGTAAGAAGCAAAATGATGATGCACTCTCATATACTGTATACATAACACAGTCTCTGAAGGAAGTAAACAAGTCATAAGAAATATGTGTGATTCAGTAGATGAAGTCCCAAAGAAAAGACACCTGTACTTAAAAGGAGAAGTCAAACAATTTCAATAGCAATGTAAAATAGTGGAAGCTAAAAGAACTCAAATTTGCAAAATGTGGTAAGTAAAATTTCTAGAGCAGTGCTTCTTAAGCTTCTCAAATTTTAACGTGCATTTGAATTATCTAGAGTTTTGTTGTTGCAGTTTTTCAAGTGAAGATTCTGACACACTATTTCTGAAGTGATGTCTGAAATGTTGCCTTTTAGCAACCTCCAAGGTGCTGTCAATGTGCTGATCTGTGGAATAACAAGAGTCCTGATAACATGCCTGTGATTATGTAACTATCAAAGGAGCAAGCTCCAGTCAAATTAGCAGACTTCAACCATACAGACATGAGTTAGAAATGTTCTGCCATTGAAAACAAATTATCTGACAAATTTGTAGTCTGCCTTAAAATGCTTATCTCAGAGAATGGAGTAGGGAGTAAGAATGTCAGTTAACTTATATTGAGCCTTTATTATGTGCTATGCATTGATTTCACTGCTTTATATTTATTATTTTATCCAATCTTCCTAGCAACCTTTTGAGGCAGGTAATACAAAGATTTTTAAAATGACTTTCAAAGACAACTAATGAACAAGACAATATGTAAGGACATTAAATAAATTTCCACTTATGTAGATATGTAATTCCACACAAATATATGATTGTAGTTGTCTTAGTAGAGAAATTCAAGTGAAAAAGACATGGTCATGATAGTAGACCAAATATTTAACATAAACTATTAACATGTGGTCATTTTGAAACCAAAGAAAAAGCTTACTATGTTATATGTGTTATGGAGAGTTAGAGCATTTAGCAGGAACATTTCAAATGCAGTGTTTAGCTCAGGGGCTGTAAATTTTCCATTGTGCTCTGTACTAGTTAGAGCTTACTTGTTGTAACTTATTGTTACTTCCAGAAGCCACAAATCAGAGGTATTGACAAAATGATGTGCATTCAGAAAAGAATAAAGCAGAATTTTAAAGTAACCTAAAAGCAAACAGAACCTGAGCATCTCGAAGTCATTCAGCCTGTGGTATCATCTATGATATAATAAACTGATTCATTCAAGCTTCAATTTCAAGGAGTGAGATTTCAGAGTTTTCCTGGGGGGTTTTTTGTGTGCTGGGTTAACTCTCACTCCAAATTCCTGCTTTTCTCCCTGAATTATAAATTTCCATTTCTGGTTCTGTTTTGTGAGGCTCTTGTCCTATTTCCATAACATTTTGCCTCATTCCAGGCCACTGCTCCTTCTCCTTAATTCTCCAAAGCACCATTCATACAAAGCTGTTGTATGTAACATCCTCTTTTTCTGAGGGATTAAGGATAATTCAGTGTTCAAAACACTAAAAATCCTATACTGCTCTTCTCCTCTAGGCATTTTAAAATATTAGGGGAAAAAATTAAAAGAGTAAAGAAGTCTAAAAAACCACTGGTTTTTCTATATAACTATTTTTATTTCCATTTTAAATTATTTTATTCTGGAGTAGGTAATATAAGCACAGGGATATAACTTGAACAGTAATTCTCCTCCCATTTCATTTCCCAGACAACTACAATCTTGTTTCCTAGAGGCAAACCTCATTATCTTTTTATTGAATATTTTTTCCAGAGATGATCTATCCTTGAAGATTTTGAAAAATAGCAAATATTAAATTGAGTCCAATTTTTTGGTAGGTTGCTCTAGGCATACTCTTAGCCTTTACATTGCGTAATGAGATACTGGTAAAAGCCCAGCCCTTTAAAAACCTAAGACTCAACTCCCTAAAAGTCATTTTGGCATTCCTCAAACAAGAAATTTATTATCTGTAACCTCGTTAATCTCCATGACACTCCTACCTTCCCTGGGGATTCGTAGTCTCTGCAACTCCTTATTCAGAATATTCTCTTTTCAAGAAAACTCCTCTCACTATACTAGTTCTCATCAAATCCTTTGTCTCAGTCTACCTGCTTACAATTTCAGTTACTTTATTTTCCAGAACAATTTTACTACTCTTAGTTAAATTTTGTTTTCCTCTTGGCTCTCCGCAAAGGGCACTGTCCTCGCATTAAACAAACAAACAAACAAACAGGGAAAAAACAGACATAGTCTCTTTCTAAGAGGATTGCTTACTGCCCTCTTAAGTGACCTTTCAAATTGCAGCCACTTTAAAAAATAAATCCCACCTCTTCTCTACCTCCAAGCAACCTCATTATTTTCTTCCATTGGCAAAAGTTTGTAAATCATTATATAGTCTCCAGGACACAAATTCTTTGCCTGAGTGACAAGAAGAGAGCAGGGAGAGAAAACATGTTATTTAATCATAGAACGTGGACGTGAACACTAAGCTTAATCTAAGGGGTGCTCTCTTACACAGACAGAGTACTCAATTCTGTGGAGTTGCATGTGCTCAGCACTAGAGAATAGAAAAAGTACAACAGAGTGCAAAAAAAAGGGTTAAAAAAAGTGAGCATGAAGTTGGAATAATGTTTTTCCTCACATCTGGAAGTCTTGCTTATTACACCTGAGCTCTCTTATTCAAATCCTTCAGGACAATTTAGGAAGCGGGATTCTGAGTCAGAAAATACCGGGCAGATGGCAGACCTCAGGTAGCATGCATTGGGCAGCTCTACTTGCCACAGAGATAGTAGCATTAGAGTTAAATATGGTCAAAAGGGTGATCAGATTCATCATGTTAAATCCCTGACTTATTTCCTTTATCTCTCATCTACCCTGCAGCCTGAGTGGGGAGAAATCAAAAACATAAATTAAGCTGCATACATCCTAAGTAAAATAACAGTAAACCAAATACAGCAGGTTATTAAAAGAATAAAACTTAATGGCAAATTAGACTTTATCCCAGAATAATGAAAGGATAATATCCCAATGAATTAATAATAAACAGTTGGAAATCTAGTAATTCTAATCTAATCTATTAAAGCACTGCTGAATTGGCCTCATTTAGCATTCATTTCTTATATAAGCCTTTTAACAAATATAAAACATGTCCAAAAACTGTCCAAAAAATCACAAAACTATCTTAAAAAGCACCATCAAAGCAACACCAATCAGAATAATATCCTTTAAAGTTGGGAAAAAAACCAGGAAGCTGCTGTATTTGCTACAATTTAACAATATTATCAATTCCATTATTCAAGAAAGAAGAACAATCTGTATGTTTTTGAAAATAAAAATTTGTCAGTGTTTGATAGGTTTAGTTATCTAGAAATATCTGTGTTCTGTGAAAAACTATTTTAAGTTTTATAACTAGTAAGATATTTGATTCTAAATCTAGAAACATGAAGAGAAAATGAGTAGAATCTTGCTATTATATATAATAAAGCATATGTTGGAAATATAGAAATAAAGGGATTAATGTAATGGATTAGTTTGTTAAGGAGAATTATGTGTATACAGTATATACACTATATATGTATATATATATGAATATATGTATACATACATGCACTGTCACATGTACATAAAATGAATTTATAAAAAGCTGAATTTTCCAGCTAATGGAAAATATAGGAAAATTAGGAATTTAAATGTTAGAAACAAATAGATCACTTCTTGATAACATAGGGAAAATCACTTCTAGATGATCATAAGGTCTAAGCGCAGTGGAATAGAGGCATGGGATTCTAATAAAACAATCTGCAATTAAGAACTCTGTACAAAACACATTAAAAAAAAACCCTGGGGGCTCTGTAGACTGATCAGAAGGAAGATATTTTTGCAGAAGCGATAGACTTGGAGCAAGCAACCTGCATACAGTGAGTTTACTGTCTTACTGTAGCTTTACTCTGGGGAGGTCAAGCCTGGTCAATAAATCTCTGATTAAGAAGTTATTTAACTGATTGGTAAAACTGGGATCAAGAGCTGGTTGCACTTACCTTAGCACCGATAGCTTCCCTCCCATTCTCCTAAGGATCTGATTTCCTGCAGAAAATTTTTATTCTGTTCTGCTTTTCTCTCCAAATGTTGCAGAAACAGGTACTGGTCTTTCAGAGGGATGGCCATGGTTGTTCAGATCTTTTTTTTTTTTTTTTTTTTTTTCTGAGACGGAGTTTCGCTCTGTCGCCCAGGCTGGAGTGCAGTGGCGCGATCTCGACTCACTGCAAGCTCCGCCTCCCGGGTTCACGCCATTCTCCTGCCTCAGCCTCCTGTGTAGCTGAGACTACAGGCGCGCGCCACCATGCCCGGCTAATTTTTGTATTTTTAGTAGAGACGGGGTTTCACCGTGTTAGCCAGGATGGTCTCGATCTCCTGACCTCGTGATCCGCCCGTCTCGGCCTCCCAAAGTGCTGGGATTACAGGCGTGAGCCACCGCGCCCGGCCGGTTGTTCAGATCTTCTAGCAGATAGACGGGATGACACACTCTTCTTGGGGTCCAGTCTTGAAATCCATACTACAGCCACATACTTATAAGATTTCCTATTAGCTTTTATCAATAGCAAACATGAAATATGATTGCTATCTGCTTTATTCTCCTGCCTTATCTTGCATTAATCTCCAGGATGGAACACGGGAGTATCCTTTATTAGAATGCTCAATCCCACTATTTATTAGTAGAACTGATTTGGGCTTTGAATTTAGACAAACTTGTTCCCCAACCCAGATTCTCATTTCTCCTTCTCAGATTAACATATTGGAGAAGTTTGTTTACGTGCCATTGCTTCTTTTTTTTTTTCCTGAAAGGAAGAATAATAATCTCATAGTTATTGTATCACTTGTTTGGAAATTCTATATAAAATTTAGTTCAGGACATTAAGCAGATAATAAGTACTTAATAAATATTAATCAATTCCCTTATCCTTCTACTCTCTTACAAGCAGGTCTGATTTCCACTAGTCAGGAACATATAGATGAGATTCTTACGACGGGAATTTGGAGTATATTAGTGGTCTTCAAATCCTTTGTCTGTGGACCCATGCTTAAAAAATTATCATTTAGTTCCTCATATATTTTAAAGTTGAAATACAAAATTTTTTACCATATGTTTAAATAGTTGCAAAGGTTGTAACTTCTAGCATACTATAAATATATACACTTCAAAAATACTTACAGTGTATATCATCCTTTTAGCTATATCCAGTGGAATTTAAAACCTACAGTGATATATGGACAAGGTCTTTACATCAGAAATTTTACAGAATTCTTTTTTCCAATTTGAACTTGTATATATATTCCTTTCCCTTTCCCAGAAATGTCCTCTAGTATTATATGAACTTATGTCTCTAAAATATTTTGTTGATAATTCTAAAACAGTATTCCGTAACAAAAACATATATATAATTAAAATGCTATATTTTCTTTAATTCTAAGATGCTAATTGTTAACATATATTATCTAAATTAATTTATTGTTATATCTATTTTTAGTACAGAATGAAAGAATTGATGACAATAATTTTTAAATGTGAAAAGTAAATTTTTTGGAACAATGTCACTTAAAGAGATAAGTTGAAAGAAATATTTATGATGCCTACATTATAGCATTAGTTTAATTTTCCCTTTGTATGGTATACCAGGGTGTTTGGTTTCAGGTCAACAGACAATAGAAAGATTTAGAGTGGGCAAAAAGTAGACCATTATTTCATAAAAGATATAAAGCCATGCCATTCTTTCATAAGGGCAATTGTGAAAGGGCTTGTAGAAAAAAGAAATCTTCAAAGCAGATCTCATTCTCAAAGTTAATTTTAAGAAACTGGGTGAAAGTACCAGGAGGAGTAAATTAGAAGGATAGAACTTGGTAGTCAGAGTGTGGGAAGCTTGAAGTCGAGATTATGGAGGTGGCACAAAAATTGTAACAAAGTCTAGAGCAAGATTACGTAAATGGTAGGTAGAAGTGAATTGAAAATAACTTCGTTTTCTTTGAGATCAAGGGACTGGATGTTCTACATGGGTATTGAAAGCAGGCAGCTTTATTATAGATACAGTGGTGGATAAAAAGACATGAAATGTGGTATAATCTAGTGTTAGTATGATCAAAATAACTTGTTGTTGTTCTCCTGTTTGATTGGTTTTGTTTTTCTAAGATAGGAGTGAGGAATAATTATCAGGAAGTAGCAATGAAGAGCAAGAATAAAATCCCCTTACTAGAATAGACTTAATGTTACTGGGTATAAAACAAACAAATGATAATAAACAAGACAACAACCAGATGAGAAGAATGTGAGAAAACATTCATTTACTGACTAGGAAGTCCCACAGTGTTCTTCCATATGGACTCTTGGCATTTTAGGCAGCACAAATCTACAGGACTATTGAACCATCAAGGCCATTTAGCATTCCTGACTCCTGTCTACTACATGCTGGGAGAGCTCCTGACCACTGTGGCAGACATTCCTCCAAATATTTCTAACCCCATGGGTTTGGAGTCTCTCAGAGCAAAAGGGATCCCTGAATTGGAAGTTGTTGACCATTTTGGGGATTTTGTATATTATGACAGACTGTAATTTCAGAGGGACTAACAAAAGGTTTGAGAAACTCTGGCTTTGGCAGCCTGCTAGAGGCAATACAGAGATACGTGGGGATGAGAGCTGGGGCGAGGAGGACTGGGAGGCTTGGTTGGCTTTCTGGTACTGATTGCCCTAAATAAGGATGTGGGGCTAGATGGAGTTTTGTTGATGAGCTCTTAGAAAGTGGTGAGTGGTAGGTTCTAATTGAAGCTTCCTTGTGGAATTCTTCTCTCAGGAAGTTTCTAGTGGTGAGGCAGATAGCATAGGCCTAAGGGAGTTTCACTGGGAGCATTTAGCAATTGGTGGATCCTTACTCTAGAAGTAGGCAAGATGCAGCCAGCAAAGGGGCAGCCTAACTGATGGAGACATAGTGAAAAAACATGTATTAGCAAGAGTAACCAGATGTTTATCACTTCAAGAGAAACATATCTTAACTTACATTATTTTATGAGCCCTCTTTCACAATTTCATGATTTCATACTTCAAATCTGACTTGGAGCATTAATCATATGACCCAGGATAATAATTCCTATTGGACAGCTTTACTTCTGCTATGCTGTTTTGGGCTGTTTTAACTTATCATGTCAAACCCTTCTGCAAACTGCTACCAAGTCAGGATATCCTGATTGCAACTTGTTAGAAATCAAAATTTCAGTACTTCATATACGAAGTGAATGTTTTGCCTAAATATGATTCATTTCATATGCTTCTGCATTTTAATTAAATTTAAATTTAAGTAACTTAAACCTAATTGACTGTAAGATTTTAAATTAAATTTAAATTCCCAAGTTAGCTGTTTTTATTTCAATTTAGAATTTTAATTTATCTCAAATATAAACTAATTTAAATTAATTAAAAAAACTCATATATCTGTCGGATCCAATTTGGATTGGCCTGCTTCCATTTAAAGCCATAGGACCAGATGAATCACTTAAGAAGATGATACAAAAGGAAAAAAAAAGAATTTAAGGAGAGAAAACTGGGATTTCCCAACAATCACAGATCTGGTAGAAAAGATAGTCAACAGACTGCCTCAAAAGGAAAGTGTTGGGGTTGCTTGAAATCTAGAAGCTGAAGGAAGGATGTTTTAAGCAGTTAGTAGTTGATTTCTTTAGCTGGAGGAGGTCTGTGGGCCAGAGAAAAGTCAGGGTCTTTCTCAAAGACAGATCTACGAGGTCCTCCGAGTCCTGTGACAGTTTGGTAAAAGGATCCTAAAATGGCTGCGTTCTCCTAGTTCGCAAGTCTTAAAGCAGCCTGGGACACCTGATAAATTAATTATCACCTAATTAATGCATGATAATTGAATTAATTATTAGCACCGGATAAATTATTATATAACTATATAAATTATATTCAGATTATTATATAAATTATTAAGAGTTATTAAAACCTTTCAAAGACGTTGTCTCTTTCCTTGGAGTTTGGGTTTAGTTGATGTGAGCATGTAGGGATTAAAGACAGATTTAGACAGAAATTAGACTCTTTGGCAGACAGAAGCAGGGAACACCTGGATACCAAGAGGTAATTGTTGTCATGCACCCATGTCCATATCAATTTTTTATCATCCAGTCATCTGGAGGGTTTTACAAGCTTGGTGTATTTGGTGTCTTATATCCTGCAGGTCCAAGATATTTTGTCAATCGATTTTTTTTCTTAGAATAGCTGATATTTGAGTGGCTATCTGTAGAATAATGTTCATGAAATGCCTATTATTTAAAATTTTTAGTAATAGTTTTCCACAAAACATCCACATACTTTCAGACTCTTATTTCAAAGTTGCTGCTCATTAATGGATTAACATATAATTTTCTAATTTGAACATAGTAATTATTGCAATTTGTGGCATCTCAGATTATTATTATTATGCTTATGACTTTTGATCTATCACAGACGCTTTGGCTAATTTATTACTATTTCAGCAATCATTAATTCCTATTAGCTTTGTTGTATCCCAAAGCAATATTATTTACTTTTATGTAACTCCTACTCCCTCAAAAATGCATAAAATTAGATTACAGGAATGTATGTGAGTGATATTTAATTTAATCAATTCTCTTCATGAATAAAAAGAAAAATTCATCTAGGCATAAGGAAGAGCTTAGGAAATGTTATATTAAAAATGTTAAACTCTATATATTGTATCTATATTTGATATGCAAACAATTACTTTATTTGACAAGAACACATCCCACAAGAAACTTTGGATCAGAACAGCTACTACCCCTTCCTAGTATTAACATAATTACTATTTCTGTTGGTAGGAATGTTAAAATGGGCATAATGTTCAAAAATCTGTTATGTCTGTGAATAGTTCTATATGTATTTGCCTGTATGTTAAACTCATAGAAACTTCCTGTTAAGCTAATTCTTCTCCACAGGGGAATAAATCAATATAGAGATGCATATCATTAGGAAAGTAGCTTTATGGTACATATGTATTCATTTAAAATGGTACTCGGTTGGAAGGCCGAGGCGGGCGGATCACGAGGTCAGGAGATTGAGACCTTCCTGGCTAACACGGTGAAACTCCGTCTCTACTAAAAATACGAAAAATTAGCCAGGCGTGGTGGCGGGAGCCTGTAGTCCCAGCTCCTTGGGAGGCTGAGGCAGGAGAATGGTGTGAACCCGGGAGGCGGAGCTTGCAGTGAGCCGAGATCATGCCACTGCACTCCAGCCTGGGCGACAGAGTGAGACTCTGTCTCAAAAAAAAAAAAGTACTCAGTAGATTACAGTAGTTATTTGCATACTTGCTCTGCTTGATATAGAGAAAAATATTGCCCTCCTTTTAGATTTTATATTACAGCATTTACTTTGTTCTGTGATTTCAACCTATCAGAGTAGACTAATTAAAATTATTTTCTTTTGTTATATATTTTATTACTTTCCCTCCTTCCCTCCAATGGACTTTCCGAAGAAGAAGATAAAAGAGCAGCCTGCCTAGGTGCAAGCAAGAAGGATTTGTATGATTATATAAAATTAGTAATAAAACCAACTAAAAGACAGATTTTTATATTTAAATGCACCAGCAATTCTAAAAATTGATAAATTCTAAAAAAAGTTATTCTACTTTCTACTCTGATAGAAACTTCTATTGTATTGATCTAAGGATCTAAGTTCTTTTTTTTTTTTTTTTTTTTTGAGACCTAGTTTCGCTCTTGTGCCCAGGCTGGTGTGCAATGGCGCGATCTCGGCTCACTGCAACCTTCCCCAACCCCCTCTCCCCACAACACCGAATTCAAGCGATTCTCCTGTCTCAGCCTCCCGAGTAGCTGGGATTACAGGCACATGCCACCACGCCCAGCTGACTGTGTGTGTGTGTGTGTGTGTGTGTGTGTGTGTGTGTGTGTGTGTTTGAAGTAGAGACAGGGTTTCATCACATTGGTCAGGCTGGTCTCAAACTCCTGACCTCAGGTGGTCTGCCCACCTCAGCCTCCCAAAGTGCTGGGATTACAGGCATGAGCCACTGTGCCTGGCCTATTGATCTAAATTCTAAACAGTGGTGTGTACTGCTCGGTTTTAATACTATAAATGTATACTTCAAATTAGCACAGTTTTATTACTCGTCTTTTAAAACATTTTATTTTAAATGGGAGCTAACTTGGAGAACTCCCTATTGTACATATGCAAACTCAGCTATATGTTCTCATTGGAGAGTAAATTTATAATGGTTGATTATTATTCAAGGTTACTTTTGTTATAATACCTGTCTCCTCCTCTAGTTGACATTAAATAGTTCTGTGTTTAAATACTAGACTCAAAATAAATAGTGACTGCAGAGTGATTGTAAAGATAAAGAAAATACCTTGAGTTATTTCAATTCTATCATTCTACATGACCACCTGGAGTTATTTTTTGTATATAATTTAAAAAGTAAAACAGAGGACAAAATGCAAATTTTAATATTTTTCTTTGATAAGTGCAAATTTTAGTTCAGCAATGAAATATTTTATGGAATTTGAATAATATCTTTTACATTGAAATTTAATTTAAAAATTGTTTTTCTTATTCATTATTAAGCTGTAATGTTATCATATATCATGGAAATAGACCAATATACAGGGTTGTTTTTCTCACTTTATATAAATGCATTAGTGTAATCAAGACGTAATAATCATATAATTTATTTTCCTTTTTTGACTGTGATTTTTTGTGTATTCATTTTAATTATAATTATATAATTATATTTATTATAATTAAAATAGGTATAAATATCTATTTATGGGGGAAGGAGGGAAAGATAATAAAGGAAATAATCTTTATTATATACAGTATATATATATTTCAATAAAAGAATTTTAATTGCCTTCCTTTGTTTCTAGACATTATTAATTTATTTTTAGTTTGCACATACAGCACTGATGTTTTATTAATCTTATTTCATGATTGATACTGAAGAGAATTTGTCATGAGCAGGTTAAAAATGATCTTCTCCATCTATCAGTGTCATATACACTAGTAACACCATTCTATTCCTCTTTGTCTTCCATCCTCCTTCTTTTCTCAAATACATTCTTTGTAACCAGTGTGTACTAGACACCAAAAAGAAGGTTAAACTTCAGATAAAATATACATGTCAACTTTAGATTATTCGTAATAAATAGAATCATTTTCAGATGTACTAAGGTGAAAATAATGCTAATTTGTAAGAATAAAATTACAATTAATTAATAAAAGTATCTCTATAGAAATAGTATATGCTTGAAGCAACTTGGCAAAATACAGAAACTGTAATAAATTTATTGGGTCTTGCCAATACTCATCCCTATTCACTTACCAGGCTTATAACTCAGGTGACCATTTGTTCCAATTTGCATAGAAGTGTTCAGGGTTGCTTGAGATAGTCCCAATTTATGTCTGTCATTTTGATATAATTATTAATAGTGCTTACTTTCACTTTCAAAAGTGTTTTAATTTAGGCAATGAAATAATAAATTGCCTCATGAGGTCAATCAACCCTTAATATTTGTGGGGCTAAAAGAAGAATGAACATGAAGGTCTATATGCCGTATATAAAATATTTTGAAGTTATAAATCAGTCGCTTATTAAGCTATATTATTTTCCTGGGTAAATGCACATTAACAATAAAAAAATCTAAAAATATGTTTAAATCTCTTATTTTAAAAAATGCAATTGCAAAATATTAGTAACAACTGAATTTGAGTAGTGTTATTGCACATGTCTAGTTGTTCTGTTTATGGCCCAAATGTGATATTTGGATAAGTGGTAACATATAAAATATATAATTCATAGATTATTTTATATTTACCCCACAAAATTTGTGCTCTTTAAAAAAATCACTGATGTAATACCTTTTAACATGACTATGTTCTACTGACAATACTTTAAAGATCAACATTTTTCAAGTCACAAAATGTTTCTTAGTTTAATTAGCTTCATCCTGTAAATCATTGCAAATAAAAACCATTAAAATTCTTATGTAATATTTTAGTTTGAAAATGATACCTAGATTTTACTACTCACGTTTAAGCATCTTAGTGTATAAATTTTATTATTGTAAAAACATTACAAAATATTTCATGTATCTTATAAGTTAGCACTTAATACAGTTCAAATTGTACAGTAAAAATAAGAATCACTTTTCATGTGTATTACATTTAGAAGTATATTTTTAAAACTCTGAGTGCCATATGAATTCTTAATAATGTGGAAAGTTCCTCAGCTGCCAATTGCAACTGCTGTGAATATAAACTTATTGGACAATGAATTCAAACTTTAAGGTAAGCAAAACATTATTATCACACTCAGCATTACTAGGAAATGTTACTTTGCTATTCAAGAATATTTTATATTCATTCTTTCAAAAGAAAATTATTTTCCAGTTAATTATGAATTATCCTTCCATTGCTTCTGCCTGCAGTTCAGATAGCCCTTGCACCCTAGGCAGTGTCTGTTCCTGGCACTGGTTGCAATATCCCATATGATCTAGTCCCTGCCTACTTCTCCAGTGGTCTTCCAGTCCTTTGCTGGCCATCTTCTGATGTGTTCAATGTACCATGACGATTCCATCATCCAGGACTGCAAATCTCGTCTTTCTGTTTTCTGGAAGGCAATTTCTGTTGATCTTGTGTAGCTTCTTTTCTTGTTCATCAGGTCTTAGCTCAAATGCCACCTCCACTTGGGAATCTTCTTGCCTACCTGTTATTCCTTTCTTTGAATGCAACTCTCTATCTCATTGTCTTATTTTAGTTATTGCTATGTTCTGAATGTTTGTGTTCCCCCAAAACTTGTATGTTGTATCCCAATTACCAAGATGATGGTATTCCAAGGTGGGACATTTGGGAGACAATTAGGTCATGAGGTCTCCAGAATATGGATAGTGCCTTTATAAAAGAGGCTATAGAAACCTGCTTTGCCCCTTTACTGTGGAGGACAGAACCACAGCAAGAAGGCACTGTCTATGAGGAATCGGCCTGTGCTGGTTAATATTAGGTGTCAGCTTGATTGGATTCAAGTATGCCTACGTAGCTGGTAAAGTAGTGTTTCTGTGTGTGTCTGTGAGGGTGTTGCCAGAGGGGATTAACATTTGGGTTAGTGGACTGGGAAAGAAAGACCCATCCTCAGTGTGGGTGGGCACTATTCAGTCGGCTGCTGGCATGGTTAGAACAAAGCAGGTGGAAGAAGGTGGGATAAGTTGGCTTGCCGAGTCTTCTGGTTTTCAACTTTCTCCCATGCTGCATGCTTCCATCCATTCCTACTGCCCTTGAACATCAGACTCCAGGTTCTTTGGCCTTTGGACTCATGGACTTACACCAGCAGTTTGCTGGGGGCTCTTGGGCCTTTGGCCACAGACTGAGGGCCTCACTGTCGGCTTCCCTACTGAGGCTTTGGGACTCAGACAGAGCCACTACTGGCTTCCCTGCTCCTTAACTTGAGGATGACCTATCGTGGGGCTTTGCCTTGTGATCGTGTGAGCCAATTCTTCTTAATAAACTCCCTTTCAAACATACATATGGCCTATTAATTCTGTCCCTCTGGAGAAGCATGACAAATACACAGCCCTCATGAGTGGCTGCTGGTGCCTTGATCTTGGACTTCCCAGCTTCTAGAACTGTGAGAAATAAATGTATTTTGTTTATAAGTTACCCAGTCTGAAGTATTTTGTTCTAGCAGCCTGAACAGATTACGACAGTTATTGACATCTTTTGTTTCTATGTAGTATTAATTTATTATTGCTATTTGTGTAATCCGTTTTTACCCATGAGAATCTGAGGTTTGAGTGTACTTTGGTATCTCTCCTGAAACTAGAACACGTATTAGGTGCTCAATAAACATTTATTATGGAATGGCACTCTATTATCTCAATTTTCTTTATTTCTGTCTTGGATTATTTAATGAGGATGAAAGAATAATTAAATGCCTACTACACTTATTATAAGTTGTCATATTAATTGGGATTCTACTTTAAGTAAATAAAATGCATTGTAATTATAACAAAAATCTATGAAATTCTATTCAATGAATGAAATAGAATTGGCTCAGAAAAGGCTGTAAAGAGAAAGTATTAGAGAAACACAAATTCACTACTTCACCCTATTTGCATACTATACCTCCAAGTTCCTGAAGAGTCTCAATAAAGTTCCAGTTCTATGACTTAATATATGGAAGAAACTGTGATTTAATTCATAGACTTAAGTATGTTTTGTTATAGACGAGTCTAAGCAAATAGTTGGAAACTTCTCTGCACTTGAAAAACTAAGGCAGGCTTTATATTCCAACACTATACTCATCACTAGAAATGAATAAAAAAGAGATGTTAAACATTAGAAATAAGTACCTTTGAGGCTTTTTATAAACTGAACTTCATTTATAACCTTTACAAGCAGGGACTCTGGAGACAGACATCTTTGGTCAAAATAGCATGTCTATCACTTATCTATGGCAGGTTACTTGGCCTTTTATCAGAAAGAAAGTCGTGTGTGAGTATTAAATGGGTTAATATATGTAAAGTATTTAGCACACTATAAGTGTTTATTAGTAGTTTAATAGCAACACATAATTGATATATTTATCTTTTATATGTCTTTGAATCTTTGTTTTAACCTTGTGAAGCATGACTAAGGGTGGTGTTATTATTCTAATTTTCTAAAATGGAATTTTGAATCTTAGAAAAGCAAACGATTTTTTTCAGGTCAGGACAATGGAGTTAGAAAAAAATATGTTCACTCTTTCACATAGTTTGTTACAAGTGATGCATTGAGAGGGTTGGCTTTAATATTAAGAAACATTTTACTTAGTTCCTCTTTTCCAGAACCATTTATGTAACCTGTAATTGCCAGTATTTTTGTGTCACAGTCTTGTGACTCATGAGTGATGTGGACAAGAGCTCTGATTAAAAGGAGTTGTTATGTAACATGGGAGTTGTTGAAATTATAATATTCCTAAGAGAATATCATCAATGGCTCCACAAGAACAGGGACAAGGTCAAGGGAACATAATGTGTTTAAAGCGTGTACCCAAGGCCTAATTCCAGGTACATAATGACTAACCATATTTTTCTGAGTAATTGCTGCCTTCTTCCCAATGATATCCTTTTTCTTTTTATTCTCCCATCTCATAGACATAAATTTCTAAGATACCAAATTTCCCCAATTCTTAACAGAATACAATTTTAAATCAGACCTCACTTTCCTTCTCTCGCCTTAAAATTACCCAGCACAAGCCAGAACCTTATAAGAAACACCCTAAGATTCAATTCCTATATGTGTTGTCTCATGCAGCAGTCAATCAAAACTCTGTTTGTTAAAAGATATATTTCCTGTAGTCTGTGGTCAGTGGGCTTTAAATTGTCCTTTAGCTCAAATAATATAGAAAGTGATAAAACAGATTTGCACACTGTGGGCACAGGCTCATTTCATCTCTCCATATATTTGGTCTACTACATTGTAGTCTGTAATTGACCAGAACTAGTCATTAATTAACTTAGGAGCAAGAAAGTTAGGAAAGATGGTATTTTATTTGAACTAATATGATTTTAATAGACCAATAGTTTGTCTTAAAAAGTGTATTCTGGGCCAGGCGAGGTGGTTCACGCCTGTAATCCCAGCACTTTGTGAGGCTGAGGCAGGTGGATCATGAGGTCAGGGGTTCGAGACCAGGCCGGCCAACATGGTGAAACCCCGTCTCTACTAAAGATACAAACAGTTAGCGGGGCACGGTGGCATGCGCCTCTAATCCCAGCTACTTGGGAGGCTGAGGCAGGAGAATCTCTTGAACCCGGGAGGCAGAGGTTGCAGTGAGCCAAGATCATGCCACTGTACTCCAGCCTGGGCCACAGGGCGAGACTCCATCTCAAAAAAAAAAAGTATATTCTGTTAAATGTCTTAGATTGATACTTCACTCTGATTGCCCTGTTTAGTAGCCTATGTCAACTGTGAGATTAAAATACATGTACATAATGGAGCACTAGTCAGCCATTAAAAGAACATGAGATTTGGCCTGTAATTCCAGCAGTTTGGGAGGCTGAGGCGGGCAGATCACCTGAGGTCAGGAGTTGGAGACCAGCCTGGCCAAAATGGCGAAGCCCCGTCTCTACTAAAAATACAAAAATTAGGTGGGCGTGGTGGTGGGCACCTGTAATCCCAGCTACTTGGGAGGCTGAGGGAGGAGAATCACTTGAACCCAGGAGGCGGAAATTGCAGTGAATGGAGATCGCACCACTACACTCCAGCCTGGGCGACAGAGCAAGACTCTATCTCAAAAAATAAATTAAAAAAAATAAAAATAAATAAATTTTAAAAAAAAGAAAAAGAATGAGATCTTGTCATTACGCAACAACAGGGGTGGAGCTGGAGCTCATTATGTTAAGTGAAATAAGCCAGGCACCCAAAGACAAACTTCACATGTTCTCACTTATTTGTGAGAGCTAAAAACTGAAACAATTAAACTCATTAGAGATACAGAATGGAATGATGGTTACCAGAAGCTGCGAAGAGTAGTGCATGGAGGCAGGGAGTGGGTATGGTAAATGGTTACAAAAAAAAAAAAAAATAGAATGAATAGGACTTATTATTTGATAACTCAACAGGGTGGTTATAGTCAACAATAACTTATTATACATTTAAAAATAACTGAAAGAGTATAATTGCATTGTTTGTAGCACGAAAGAGAAATGCTTAATGCAATGGATACCCCATTTACCCTGATGTGATTATTACACATGGTTTGCCTGCATCAAAATATTCCATATACCTCATAAATATATACACCTACTATGTACCCAAAATTAAAAATTTTAATAAAACAATTTTAAAAATTAAAAAACACTTAATAATTCAACTTTTTTCAGATAAAGTACATTTGCAGGTTTGTTAAATTGGTATATTGTACTCAGGTAATGTGCGTAATACACAATAAGCTGTTCAACCCACACCCTCCTCTCTCTCACCTCTACTATTAATAGTGGTGTCTTTTGTACCCATGTTTATGTCCACGTATGCTTAATGTTTAGCTGTCACTTGTAAGTCAGAACATGCAGTATTTGGTTTTCCATCCCTGTGTTTATTATAGTCTCCAACTCCATCCATGTTGCTGCAAAGGACATGATTTCATTTAAAAAAAATTTTTTTTTCTAGATTTATTTTTTTAATCAGTGCTCAAACAGTAATCCATGGATACATGCTGATATTAAACTGAGATTATAAAATTACCAAATACTGAATTATTTTTTAAAAAGATTGTTGGAGTATGTAATATTATTTAGCAGTATATAAATTCATATTTTGTGAACTTAATTTTAGAATTTATAGTCTGTCACGTTTGGGAGGATGCTGTCAAATCCACCCCTTCTCTTTCCTTTGTGTTTCTGCTTGACAACAGTGATGTACTATTGGCAAGCAAAACTTTAGTACACTAAAAAAATTAAAACAGTCATTGCTATAGGGCCTAAATATATATTAGTAAGAGTAGCATTTAGAAGTTCTTTTACTCTATTTTTAAAATATTTTTGCCTTGTGTTTCTAGGTTGTTTTTGCTTATAAGCTTTATTAGAAATTTTCTCAAAGTACTTATGCTTTCAGAATAATCCATGGGGTTAGCTCTCCAATATCTTTATTACTTAGTGAAAATAATATTGTTCTATAAAAGTTCAAGAATAGAGAAATTTTTTTGGCCATAACAGAGTGAAGAATTCAAAATGGAGACAAATCACCTTAACCCACCACTTTATAAACACTCTCCATTTCCTCAGATTAATTTTTTTTAATTGGAGTTTCTTATTCTATTTAATGACTGGGGAGATGAGGAATAGCAGTGGCATTTGGGTGGCAGGCTACACTACATTATGAAATGAAGCTGCAAAACATACTAATACCTCTGTTAGAAGAGCCCTCAGAGATAATAAGTGTCGTAATTCTATTACAGATAGTGATCAGGTTATTAACTTTAGGTAGAGGCACAACTTACTTACAGTTTATTGAATTTTTATCTAGTTCTGTATTTCTGCATGTTAAACTGAGCTACACAATAGGCCTGTCATTTCACTGAGAAATACTGTAAACCTGAGAAAAATATCCATTAGCAATAGGAAGAACAAGGACTCATTATTGTTAAATGTTAGCGTTAAAGCTGAACTGAAAGAACCTCATCACTTTAAATCAGAAGCTAAGTGAGTAACATATTTGAATCCCAGTGATTTATCATCAGTCTAGATTCTAGTACCAGGACCAGGTTACTCAGAAGTGGTCACAAAGGGTGGCTGGTGTCAGGGGGGTGATGGCGGAACCTAGCAGACCTAGCATCTAATTTTTCTCACAGCATACACATTATAAAACTAATTTTAATAATATTATTGGGCTATATTTTACATTTTAGACAATGTCTCCTGGTAGCATTAAAAATAAAAAAAAAATCTTTAACATTTCTGATTAGGCATACTGAAATCCACAAAAAAATGGCACACCATTAGTAAGCATTATATCTTCCTTTATGGGAGAATATTTGAAGTGTAAGACCAAAAGATGGAAAAATAAAATTCTATTTAAAACATAATAAAGCTTAGACAGGGCAACGAATTTAAAAACATAAATTTAAGCATTTCTATGAGATCATTACATCAAATATTATTAAATTTTAGATTTTAAGGGTGAAATGCAGGTCCTATCTGAATTCTTTTTTTCTTGCAAATTTATTATCTTTCCCAGTCTGAAAGGACTTGATTGTGATGTGCTTACAAATTGAATTAATACTTGGGAATTTCTTCAACACACAAGTGTGTACTGTGTGCCAGAAATTCTTCTAGTTGTGGGGGTTAGAGCAATACTCTGTAGAAACGTGTCAAATGTACATTTGCGCCTGCATTGTGGCAAAGTCATATTCTACAAAGGCAGAAATATTTTTAATGTCCCAGAGAGCCTCTTAATCAAAGTGTAGCTGACCACTTCAAGTCTCAGCTTAAATATCATCTCTCCAGAGATGGTTTCTCTGACCACTCTTCCTAAATTAGAATTGCACTGTTATTTATTCTCAATTCTCTTTCCTTCAAGCATTCATTTTATTTCAATTTTGCTTTTTATTTTCTGTATACTCATTATACTTTAAGCTTTCTCAGACCAGGAACCAAATCACGATTAGTCAGCAATGTAACTTTTGCATTTAGCACTATGCCTGCCCAAAAGCTCATTTATTTTGTCTTCATCTACGGTTTCAACAACATTTTAGTTTTGACCATGGTATTATATATCATTTTGATGGTACATGATGGGTTTTTTAAATTAACTTTTGTTTCATTTGTGTTGAGTCACAACCAGAGGAGGAAGTAAGGAAGAAAAGCAATGTCTGTCACTTGTTTCTACATGCTATTACTTTTTTTAAAGAACAAAAGAAATAAAACTTTATTTGTTATGAAAGAATTGCTCATGATAACAAATTTTAATCTACAGAAAAAAGCTTTAAGCTTTTAAAATTTTGAAATAATTATAGATTTACAGCAATTGCAAATATAGTATAAATAAGTGTTGTGTACCGTCCCCCCAATTTTCTTCAGTGTTCACATTTTACATAACCATAGTAAAATATCAAACTCAGGAAAATGACATTGACACAATATGTGTAAAGCCATATATCATGCTATCACATGTGTAAATTCATTTGAACACCACCACAAAAGATACAGAACCAGCCAAACACCACAGTGGTCTCCCTCATGCTACCCCTGATAGTCACACTAACCCTCCTCCCCGTTGTCATCCATGAACTCTGACAACCACTAATGAGCTTCCCACTACTATCACTGTTTTTGAGAATGTTATGTAAGTGGAATCATATGCTATGTAACATTTTGGGATTGACATTTTCAGTCATCATAATGACCTTGAGATGTGTTCAGATTGTTATTTGCGTATTTTCATTTCTAAGTAGTATTTCACTGTATGAGTATAACACAGTTTATTCAACCACTCACCCACTGAAGGTCATCCAGACTGTTTCCTGTTATTTTGCTATTACAAATAGAGCTGCTATGAATAAGTACATAAAGAATTTTGTGTAGACACAGTTTTCATTTCTATTTTTATTTGTGTATTATTTTTCAGTGTTCCTTTTATTTCTAATAAAATAAGTAAAAGCTTTATGAAAAGTGACTTACTATGAAATATTTGAAGCTATAGAAAAATTTTAAAGGAAAAACAATGATCTACATTCCTACAACTGAAAGTCACTATTACTCCATTGGTATTTTTCTTTGCAGTATTTTTTTTTTTTACTTTTAATGTACAAGATTCTTATGCTGTATATAAATAGTTCTAGTTGTAATATATAAATGCAATATTGTTCCTGATTTTTTCTTTACTATTATAAAATAATTATTATAAATAAATGAAGGAAAGACACTCACATACACAAATAAACATTATTTATTTGAAATGAAGCATAATGGTAAAATACATGCCCCCCAACCCCACTACTCAGTGTAAGAAATAAGACATACCATTACCACTGACACTCCCTTTGGGTCTCTTTGTTTTATTCATTTATTTTAGACTTTTTTAAAGGATATCTTCTCAATCATACTACTGAAAACAGATGTCATGTTTTCCTAGACAAAAATTTAAATGAGGAGATGTAAGAGACCCACTGGTTTTGTAACTCACCATGGCTGGTAATGCATATTTTACTCTTCTTCTCAATACTTTAAAAAAATTCTTACTGAAACCATCAAAATTGTCTTCCTTTGAGAAGCCTATGATTTAAGTCTCCTTCAAGTAAAGGGACAGTTAGTGTTAGACTGTGGTAGATCTTTACAAACCAGTGGAATTAAAAATCCTACCTGTGAGCATTTTTTTTGTAGTTTTTGTCTGTTGTGCAGTTAGAGAAGCTGATTCATCTTTTTTTTCTACTTTATTCAAAGGAATGTACAGTTCTTGAACTGTGAATATAAAATTTTGGGGTATAAATTAGTTTCATTCTATGTGCTCCATCAGAAAGCTATTTTTGATCAAAATTATACTGAAGTATATGATGTTTACTTTGTTCTATGTATCATACTTTGGCTAAATATTACAAGGTTTATATAGTTCAAACTATAATTCTCCAATTTTTCAAGGAATATGAAATTTGTATTTATACATATCTGTTTTTTTCAATTATTTTGTCATGCCAGATTCTTCCTTACTCCCAGAAAAACTATTATTGGTAACAACAAAAAAAAGAAAACTACAGGTTTGATGAACATAGATGCAAAAATTGTTAACAAAATACTAGCAAGCCAAATTCAACAACACATTAAAAAAGATCTTTCACCATGATTAAGTGGTATTCATACCAGGAATGCAAGGATGGGTTCACTATATGCAAATCAAAACAGCATGCTACATAAAATTAACAGAATGAAGAACAAACGTCATATGATCATTTGAATAGATGCAGAAAAAATCAACAAAATTCACATTTCTTTATGATAAAAATTCTCAACAAATGAGGTGTAGAAAGAATATACCTCAACACAATAAAGGCCATATATGACAAACCTACAACTAACATTATACTGAACAGAGAAAAGTTGAAAGTTTTCCTCTAAGATCTCAAACTAGACAAGGATGCCCACTAGCACCACTTCTATTCAACATATTACTGAGAATTCTTTTTAGAGCAACAACAAAGAGAATGAAATAAAAGGCATCCAAATTGGAAAGGAGGAAATTAAATTGTCTTTATTTGCTGATGACATAATCTTATTTTATTTTATATACATATATATATATATATATATACACACACACACATACACACACACACAATGAAATACTATTCAGTTATTAAAAAAGATTGAAATCCTGTCCTTTGTAACAATATGAATGAACCTGGAGGACATTACATTGAGTGAAATAAGCCAGGAAGAGAAAAACATATACTGCATTATCTAATTCATATGGAATATATAAATGTTAAACACATAGAAGTAGAGAGTAGAATGGTGGTTATCAGAGGCTGGAGTAGTTAAGGGGTGGAGAGTTGGAAAGATGTTGGCCAAAGGATACATAATTGCAGTTAGATAAGAGGAATACATTTCAAGAGATCTATTGTACAGCAAGATGACTTTAGTTAATGATGATACATTTTATTTTTGAAAAATGTAAAGACAGTGAATATTATGTTCTCTTACCACAAAAACCATAACTGTGTAAGGTTACACATTTGTTTTATTT
Source organism: Homo sapiens (assembly GCF_000001405.40). NCBI lineage: Eukaryota > Metazoa > Chordata > Mammalia > Primates > Hominidae > Homo > Homo sapiens. Next base: position 83,299,379 of record NC_000007.14, on the reverse strand, counting down.
GTTTTTTTTTTTTTTAATTATACTTTAAGTTTTAGGGTACATGTGCACACTGTGCAGGTTAGTTACATATGTATACATGTGCCATGCCGGTGTGCTGCACCCACCAACTCGTCATCTAGCATTAGGTATATCTCCCAATGCTATCCCTCCCCCCTCCCCCCACCCCACCACAGTCCCCAGAGTGTGATATTCCCCTTCCTGTGTCCATGTGATCTCACTGTTCAATTCCCACCTATGAGTGAGAATATGCAGTGTTTGGTTTTTTGTTCTTGTGATAGTTTACTGAGAATGATGATTTCCAATTTCATCCACGTCCCTACAAAGGACATGAACTCATCATTTTTTATGGCTGCATAGTATTCCATGGTGTATACGTGCCACATTTTCTTAATCCAGTCTATCATTGTTGGACATTTGGGTTGGTTCCAAGCCTTTGCTATTGTGAATAATGCCGCAATAAACATACGTGTGCATGAGTCTTTATAGCAGCATGATTTATAGTCCTTTGTGTATATACCCAGTAATGGGATGGCTGGGTCAAATGGTATTTCTAGTTCAAGATCCCTGAGGAATCGCCACACTGACTTCCACAATGGTTGAACTAGTTTACAGTCCCACCAACAGTGTAAAATTGTAGAGATATAGATCAATGGAACAGAACAGAGCCCTCAGAAATAACGCCACATACCTACAACTATCTGATCTTTGACAAACCTGAGAAAAACAAGCAATGGGGAAAGGATTCCCTATTTAATAACTGGGGCTGGGAAAACTGGCTAGCCATATGTAGAAAGCTGAAACTGGATCCCTTCCTTACACCTTATACAAAAATCAATTCAAGATGGATTAAAGATTTAAACGTTAGACCTAAATCCATAAAAACCTTAGAAGAAAACCTAGGCATTACCATTCAGGACATAGGCATGGGCAAGGACTTCATGTCCAAAACACCAAAAGCAATGGCAACAAAAGCCAAAATTGACAAATGGGATCTAATTAAACTAAAGAGCTTCTGCACAGCAAAAGAAACTACCATCAGAGTGAACAGGCAACCTACAAAATGGGAGAAAATTTTCGCAACCTACTCATCTGACAAAGGGCTAATATCCAGAATCTACAATGAACTCAAACAAATTTACAAGAAAAAAACAAACAACCCCATCAAAAAGTGGGCGAAGGACATGAACAGACACTTCTCAAAAGAAGACATTTATGCAGCCAAAAAACACATGAAAAAATGCTCATCATCACTAGCCATCAGAGAAATGCAAATCAAAACCACTATGAGATACCATCTCACACCAGTTAGAATGGCAATCATTAAAAAGTCAGGAAACAACAGGTGCTGGAGAGGATGTGGAGAAATAGGAACACATTTGTTAATTAGCTAGATTAACCATTTGACAATGTATATGTACTTCAAAATATCATGTTCTACATTTTTATCATGTAGAATGTGACATTTACTCCAAATACTGTATTTGTTGATTTTTGAAAAGAAAGAAAAACAGTCATTGTGATACAATTTATTTAGAGCATATTAAAATTTAATAAAGATAATTCACTGTTGATCCAATTGGAAATACTGCAAAATCGAATTAGGGAAGCTCTATATAGATTCTAAATATTTTCTATCTGTTATTATCTTCTGAATATTTGGGAAATTTAATATGAGAAAATGCTTCTATTGAGATTTGTGTCAAACATAGCAGAAATGCAATGATCCTAACCAGTGTACCCCAGATGTCATAGAGTTTTCATTTTGAGAGTATTAGGTCATACTGTATATACATATACATATATTTAATTTTTAATGAATAAATTATGGGAACTTTAACCCATACCAGTTTGATTGCTGGAAATTAGTTCAACTCAAGTGTCAGCCCATTGTTTCTATGAGTTGCTTACAGAGTTTCTCATGTATATTTAGAACCATTCTGTCAACTGTGATCACTCTGCAATATTCACCTCATTTTTTTCCTTGTCTATTCTGGCTCTCACATGTTCACTTCTTCTGGGTGCAGAGCCACTGGATATTGCCAGCTATTTCCTACCCATGACTGATTACAGATTTTTTTTACAGACCTCAAGGTTTCAAAGTTTTTCTTCCCTAATTATAACTAAGCTTTTGTCTCCAGAGCCTTAAAATACTTCTTACAAACTTCTGCTAGCTTCTGACTATTCTTGCCTAGATATTTTCCATGACTTATAAAGAGCAAGCAAACAAACACAAAACAAAACAAACAAAAAATGAACTCCAGTTCTGTTAATTTCTGGACTCCTGAAGCCATAGAAGTCATATTGAGTTCACAGGACAACACTTGGAATAGAAACTATAGTTACATCAGTTTCTCCATTTGATTGTAAGTGCATCTCCATGTTTCCCAGGTATCATATGTAAATGATACCGTGTAAATTTATATAAACAGTAAATATATATTTTTCTGAGTACAGAAAAAGCCAAAATCTTCCTCCCCTCAATATCTGTACATAGCACCTAGGACCTAGACCAGCAATCTAATCATTTATCAAATATTTATTGGGGGTGACTAGTATGTCCTAGGTACTGTGCAAGTGGGGGAACTTACTCTCATAGAGTTTACATTCTAGAAGGGAATAAAAGGCACCCAAATTGGAAAGGAGGAAATTAAATTGCCTTTGTTTGCTGATGACATAATCTTATATCACACATATATGTATATATATATACACACACAATGGAATACTATTCAGTCATAAAAAAGATTGAAATCCTGTGATTTGTAACAACATCGATGTTGGGGAAGGGAAGATATAAACAAATAAGAAAACACATAAATTTGAGAGTTGGCAATTTGCAGGGTATGAATATGTGTTAACAGGAAGAGGGGGGGTGCAAGTCATTTAAATAGGGTACTTAAGGAAGGATAATCTCTGTGGAAAGATCTTAAAGATGAGACTTTGCAAACAGCTGAAGAAAGAACATTCTGGGGAGGGCAAGATTCTATGGGGGAGAAAGTAGTAGTGAACTCAACAGAAATAAAACAGGTATGCTGAAGTTTACAACAGAAAGAAAACAGGTATGCTCTTCCAGGGGAAAGAGTGAAAGTAGATGAGATCAGAGAAGGAAGCCAAGTACCAAGTTTTACTATAAAGTACATAAGAAGAATTGGGAAATTGCTGGATTGAGGTATGGAGTCAATGTGGAGTCTGTAATATTTTGGTTGGGGGGGCGGTGGAAGGTGTTTTTGTTTTTTGGGGGTTTTTTTGGCACTCTTTAAAAGATAGAAGTATGTTGGTAGGCTAAGCCAGTGAACAGGGAGAGTCTAATGTCACAGGATAGAGGCTATGGCAGAGGAGCAGAGAAATTTAATTGGAAGAGACCCAGAGGCATCTGGAGAGATTCACATTTGATAGAGTGAGAATAATTTTCTGGTTGTAATAGAATACTCATATAGGCTCAAGTAGGTCTGTAGATATAATGAAGGAAATAGGAAGATTACTGCTATGAAGCAGCAAAATTCCCTTTGTGAGATAAGAGAAAATAAACAGATACAAGTATATATGACAATGAGTTACAATGATATTTGAGTAGCAGCAAGATTTTTATTTCATAAAATGGTCTCGTCTTTTTTAGGTTAATATTTCTTGCTACAATGTAAAAATTCAACTGATTATTTTTAGAAGTTGAATATAAATATATTCATTTGTGCTTATTGAATAATTTACTGTGTATTAAAGACAAAGAAAAGAAGCTTTAGGTTACTAGTCTGGTAGAAATCTTAAATTTGTTGTATGCTATCTAAGAATAGGTTGCGCCTGTTTGACTAACACAAAATGGCTTGTCTTTTCAACTGTAAGATGGTTCAGGCCAATTGATATATTCTGAAATTATTTGCTCCAAGATAAGGCTGATCAACAGGAAGCAGACAAAAGATAATTTTGTAATAGAAATAGAATAATAATATTATTCAGAATTTTACTTTTAAACTCACATAAGGAGTTTTCATAAGTTTGAGCACTTCTCTTAAAAATTGTCAGTGAGTCAGAGTAGGTTAGGAGAAGTTGTTACTACCATATAAGTAATTTACAATATCAATGAAATTAATTTTATGGCATGATATTTATGCATTACTTTTTATTTATAAATCTTATATGCTTGCTCTGGAATTAAATTGTATTGGTTAAGTTTTTTTAAACATTATTTAAAGTTGGCTGAAGAGAGACTGGATTTCAGAATGACAATATTCAGAACAGTACATATAATCATTTGTTTGATAAAGGGGAAAATATATATGCATTTGTATTTAATTTATATATATATATTTTCTGGAAAAAATTAAAAAACATATAAAAGTATCTCTGGAAAGATTTAAAAACAGATGTTGTTTTCTTCAGGAAGAGGAACAGAATAATGAGAAGTGAGATGAATATTTTCATTCTTGCATTTTTTACTTCTTGATTATTGATGAATCATTTAAGAGGATAAGCACCCATAAGGATACTTACTTGAATGTAAAATTTTGCAGAAATAACACATATTAATACATAAGCACTTGCTGTTTATGTGGCTGTATTTAAAATCTATGGGTTTTTTTTTTCTTCTGGTTGTAAAAATCTCCTGATAAGTAAATATAATGAGCAATATAACCTAGAAAGTAATATCCATTATTTTTAATGGCCTGGTTAGTCCTTAATTAAAACTTTAATGTTAGAAAGATATTACTAGGCTCTGTGAAATCAGGGGTATGTCAAAAGTGGTCTCCTATCCAAAAAAATCACATTTATCTCACATTCTCTTTAATAGATACACTTAAAATTGGTGGCAAATTTTAATGGAGTAGAAAGACTTTCCTACGTATCCTCTGCATTTGAAGTTCCAAGAAAGATGTTCCAAGAATAATTTGCTCTAAAGATAAACAACTAAACAAACTGTAAGATTATTCAGATTGCTTAACCTAATGGGTAGAGTTTAAGTTAAACTTATATATTGGTTTCAGAGTGATTGGTGGTGACAAAAATCCAAAATAAAGAGTCATGAGATATTTGCACCTCTAAAAAGATACCACACTCTTAAAAATACCAATTTTAATCTATTAGGAATTGGTCAAATTTAAATGCATGTTTTATATGTTTCAGTCTATCTAGTTTATTTTTCATAATGGCTTTTGAAAACTATCACCATAACAAGACAAATCTGGGGGGAAAACAGAAAGGCATATGTGGAGAACCAGGGCCCCCAAGTTCCTATAAACATACAACATCTCAAAGTCACTACTACTTGGTCATATAACTTTTCCTCATTGTGCTATCTCATTACCGCATGCTCCAAACTTGGGAAACGGAAACATTGTGATTATTTTCTAACCAATTCCCAGAAAATCTGGTTCTTGCTTCCTTTAGCACTTCTCTCAGCCCCATGCAAACCCTCTCAGCCCCACGTACATACTTCATTACAAATTGGTACATGCATTAATCCACCTTAAGGAACTTTTAAATTTTTAATATAAAATAGCTCTTACCAGACTTCAGTAGGCTTAAAGCCACATGGAGTATTTGCTGTTTAAAGCATATTTTCTAGCCTCTTCATAGAGCTTTTAATTTTACAGTTGTAGGTAAGAGATAAACATCTAAACAATTATTTCACTGACAAATAATTTGATACGTTCTGGTATAAAGGATTTTATACCTTTGATAAATTCTGGTATAAAGGAATCCCAATTGCAAATTATGTGCACACAGAAGAGGTAAGTTAAAGATCTGTGATTCCAAATATTTCAGTTAACTTGACAAACTCGGCAACCGCTCTCTAATGCCTTTCATCCTCAGTGGTTGCCTCTAAGACCCAGAAGGAAGTCTCTCACACACACTGCATGGCTTCAGTTGTTTTCCTCTAAGTCACGAAAACCTCATCTCATTAGAATTCCGTATATTAAGTGCATAATCATACTCTTTATTAGCCTCCCTGCTCCTAAACAATGCTATTGGAATCCTGGCATTTTCCAAATTTCTCCCTCGCTTACTGTCCTGTCTAGATCAAAAGATCCCATCTTTCCTGATGTGAACCAGCTCCGATCTTGCTCATAAGCCTGATACTACAGAATTATTAACAGGAAGTTTCCAGCTATCCATCCTCTGTATCCACATGCACTGTGCATTCACAGCTGAGAAGAACTTGCCTGTACCCTAGCTTTAAGGCTATTGTCTCTTCTCAGACCATGTAGCAAAGGACATTTTTCTATTGTTAGCAGAACAGTGGAAAATGATTTTTTGAAGTAAAACGGAACAAAATACAGTTCCTGATCAAAATCACCTAGATGTTTTTCATGCTAGAATATTACCCCTACACACCCACATACTCACACCTGCTTTAGCATTTTAAAATCCACATTAACAAGTTTTTAGTTAAGAAGTCCTGCAGTTATTTATTTTTAATTTATTTTTATTTTTTTTTTAATTTTATTATTTTATACTTTAAGTTTTACGGTACATGTGCATGACGTGCAGGTTTGTTACATATGTATACATGTCCCATGCTGGTATGATGCACCCATTAACTCATCATTTAGCATTAGGTATATCTCCTAATGCTATCCCTCCCCCCTTCCCCCATCCCACAACAGTCCCTGGTGTGTGATGTTCCCCTTCCTGTGTCCATGTGTTCTCATTGTTCAATTCCCACCTATGAGTGAGAACACGCAGTGTTTGGTTTTTTGTCCTTGTGATAGTTTGCTGAGAATGATGGTTTCCAGCTTCATCCATGTCCCTACAAAGGACATGAACTCATCATTTTTTTATGGCTGCATAGTATTCCATGGTGTATATGTGCCACATTTTCTTAATCCAGTCTATCGCTGTTGGACATTTAGGTTGGTTCCAAGTCTTTGATACTGTGAATAGTGCTGCTATAAACATATGTGTGCATGTGTCTTTACAGCAGCATGATTTATAATCCTTTGGGTATATACCGAGTAATGGGATGGCAGGGTCAAATGGTATTTCTAGTTCTAGATCCCTGAGGAATCGCCACACTGACTTCCACAATGGTTGAACTAGTTTACAGTCCCATCAACAGTGTAAAAGTGTTCCTATTTCTCCACATCCTCTCCAGCACCTCTTGTTTCCTGACTTTTTAATGATCGCCATTCTAAGTGGTGTGAGATGGTATCTCACTGTGGTTTTGATTTGCATTTCTCTGATGACCAGTGATGATGAGCATTTTTTCATGTGTTTTTGACTGCATAAATGTCTTCTTTTGAGAAGTGTCTGTTCATATCCTTTGCCCACTTTTTGATGGGGTTGTTTTTTTCTTGTAAATTTGTTTGAGTTCATTGTAGATTCTGGATATTAGCCCTTTGTCAGATGAGTAGGTTGCGAAAATTTTCTCCCATTCTGTAGGTTGCCTGTTCACTCTGATGGTAGTTTCTTTTGCTGTGCAGAAGCTCTTTAGTTTAATTAGATCCCATTTGTCAATTTTGGCTTTTGTTGCCATTGCTTTTGGTGTTTTAGACATGAAGTCCTTGCCCATGCCTATGTCCTGAATGGTATTGCCTAGGTTTTCTTCTAGGGTTTTTATGGTTTTAGGTCTAACATTTAAGTCTTTAATCCATCTTGAGTTAATTTTTGTATAAGGTGTAAGGAAGGGATCCAGTTTCAGCTTTCTACATATGGCTAGCCAGTTTTCCCAGCCCCATTTATTAAATAGGGAATCCTTTCCCCATTGCTTGTTTTTCTCAGGTTTGTCAAAGATCAGATAGTTGTAGATATGCGGCATTATTTCTGAGGGCTCTGTTCTGTTCCATTGGTCTGTATCTCTATTTTGGTACCAGTACCATGCTGTTTTGGTTACTGTAGCCTTGTAGTACAGTTTGAAGTCAGGTAGCGTGATGCCTCCAGCTTTGTTCTTTTGGCTTAGGATTGACTTGGAGATGTGGGCTCTTTCTTGGTTCCATATGAACTTTAAAGTAGTTTTTTTCCAATTCTGTGAAGAAAGTCATTTGTAGCTTGATGGGGATGACATTGGATCTATAAATTACTTTGGGCAGTATGGCCATTTTCATGGTATTGATTCTTCCTACCCATGAACATGGAATGTTCTTCTATTTGTTTGTATCCTCTTTTATTTCATTAAGCAGTGACATGATTGTATATCTAGAAAACCCCATCGTCTCCGCCCAAAATCTCCTCAAGCTGATAAGCAACTTCAGCAAAGTCTCAGGATACAAAATCAATGTACAAAAATCACAAGCATTCTTATACACCAATAGCAGACAAACAGAGAGCCAAATCATGAGTGAACTCCCATTCACAATTGCTTCAAAGAGAATAAAATACCTAGGAATCCAACTTACAAGGGATGTGAAGGACCTCTTCAAGGAGAACTGCAGTTATTTTTTAAGTGTTTAATTTTTACTTAACCAAAACGTACTTCACATATTTGATAATTTAACCTTATATTTCCCACTGTTAAACATTCTGTGAATGGGCTATGAAACACAATTTGAAAACTACTGACAGATTGATAGCATTCTCATAGCTGAATATTACTTCAATTTCTTGGTCATCAGCCAAAGGGTAATACTAAATTTAATTATGAATATATCATTGAAGAAAATCGTATGCTGACAAATTCAAGACTCTTCAAAACTAGAAGCAGCTCACCTGAATTGGATAGTTTTAGATTTATTACTGAGCTAATCTTAGGAAACTCGTTTTTGAACATTAAATCAACTTGCATAATTCAGCAATAAATAAAATCAATCAGACAAAACTGAACTTTGTGTCTTCTTAATATTGGATTATTTCTGTAAAATAATTATTTCTTTGTATGAGTCAGAATAGAACTAAAACAGGTGAGTCAGTAACATTTGTAATATTATGTTCTATGATATATCGGCATTGTGAAAAAATAGATGGAAGGAGATGACTTGCTGAGAAAATGACTTCGGGTGGCAGACAATGTGCTACGCATTGAGATACAGAAGTGAATGATGTCATTTGCTGCTTTCATTTTTATTAGTTCCAATCAGAGGAGAGTGAAAATCAAAAAGGGTAATATAGTGTTGTAAGTATTAAGATGGACATTAGCATAAGGCAGTGTGGCACCACAGGTCATTCTAGAATCCATAAAATATTACTCTTTTGGGGTTTGTAAAATTAAATCAAATTTTCTTTCCGATCACTCTTATTTTGAAAAGTGAGTGTGAAGCTTGAAATTACTTACTTTTATTTACATTCGCTACCAGTTAAATAATGGATGAATAGCATAGGCAATGTATGATCAGGATTTGGGGTGACAGACATAAAGGTAAAAACAGCTGACTTTGAAATAGAAATAATAGAAATGGTGTTTATGGGCCATAATGATAAGAAATGGATTGGATTTACTTATGACATCTTTGCCAAATCATGTCGTAAACCAGTGATATAATTTTATTTGGTTATTAGAAAATTGTGTTTCTTTAAAATATCAAAAATAATTGACTGTGTTTCATGGATTATGCTATTAAATAAAAAAGATTTAAGACACTTTGCTTATCCTAAGTCAGACAGAAGAGGGAAAAAAAATCTTGGCATTTGAAACAAAGACAGGAAATAATTTAGCAATATGATGAATTAATTCTCCTAAGGAAGAGGGTAATTTGATAAGTTGTCCTGTCACAGCGGCATGCTGAGCATATGACTTCCTGATGACTGGGGAGTTTTTAATTAATTAAAACTAGTGAGAGAGTGAGGCAGTGGACATTTTGTTTATAATGGACATTAGATCGAAGCATCCAGGGGCCTGTGGCCAATCTTGAGCGATTTTGCTGAGTAAGGATGGCTGAGTCTCTGTGACGAGACACATTAATTATGGGCAAGGTCCAACAGCAAGGAAAAACCACTTCAGGGGCTACCTAACAAATGCAAGTGGGCTAGAATAAACTTGGTTCTGGAGATTTTCATCAGCTTTATAAATAGGTAAGACTTCAAGATAATTATTTTGGGATCATTAATATTTAGTATAGAATGTTTCTCAAAATGTGAACCATCTGATTCCTGTCCTTAACTGAGCTCAACCCTATGCTGAGATCCACCTACTATCTTTCAGTCTGGGTCGATTAACAAATGCCCGTGTGTATTTTGTGCACACTGAAGCTTGAGAAACACTGGTGAATATAGGCAGAGAGACTCATCACACTGCATACTTTACTTGAAATTGTGCATCTTTTATTTTTATATCTTTCAGAAAAATGTTCACTCGATTTATGCCATTTGGCAACAAGAGATCTGTATCGCAGACAAAGAACTATTGTCCTAGATTCCCCTAGTCACCTAGTAAACACTATTTCCAACCATATTATTTCTTTGCTGCTAGAAGGAAATAATAAGGCTGAAAATGCAGAGATTCATTTTTCTCTACCTTCAAGCCCAATATGGAAAAGGGAAATTGAAAATTTTCCTGGAATATTTCTTCTGTGATACAAAGACATGAATAAGAAGAAAATCTCTTTCCTTCTTCCTTTGCATTGTTTTGTTTTTGTGTGTGTAAGTTATAGTGCTTGGTGCTTTGGTGCTTGTAGGTATTAAGTGAGTATTAAGAGAAGCCAGGCCAATAAGACTGACATCACTGAATCATGTCTACAACAATGTATTCTGAATTTCTTGTTTTGTCACATATTAAACTTTCATTGTTTAAGCCACTTTTAATCAAAAACATGTTATTTTCAAATGAAATAATCTTAGATGATCTATCTTTTGTTGAATTTATTTATTTCAAATTACCATGGAGAGATGTAAATTTCCTGGTCAGAATTCCGAATCATATCTTTTCTCTAATGCAACTGCTTGAAATAACAAACAATAAAAACAACAAAAAACTGTATAAACTTACCACGTGACACTTATTTTGCATTACTAATATGTTACCATGACCATAAATGAATGACAGAATAGAAAATAAGATCTTTTTAAACCTTCATAGTAGTAGAGAATATGTAAATTGAATTGTGTTGCTATAAAATATGTAAGATTTCCAGAGGCTTTTCTGTCTGGGCAGTAATTCAAACTTAATCCTAACCACAAAACAATGCTTCTCTCTCATTTTCTTATTCTCCTCTTTCATCTTAACATATATTGGGATATTAATAGATGCCAGCCTTTAACAATAACTAACAGGCAAAACGTTAACACAGATAATTTATAGAATAGTTTGTTCCTTTTATTCACTCATTTATTATTCACATCACAGAAGAATTAGATATGTTAATAAAAGTTTCTTACAACTCATTTGTCTTGTTGTTCACAATCATACAGCACATTAAACGCCTTGAGGATCTTTGGAAAAAAATACAAATTAGCACCCACAGATATTATTTAATTGGTCTGGGGGAGGATCAGTGGATATTTTTTTAAAGTGCCTCCAGTTGGCTTTAATGAACTGCCAGCACTGAGAATCATTGCACTGAAACTTGTTCAAAGAAGCCACTACTAGGCTAGATGAAATGAGTTGCTCAGATTGCAGAAGAACCTAGGAATGCTCCCCAATCCTCAAGTTGAAGTTTGTAGCCTGCTTTTGAGCCAGGCCTGGAGATTTGGTTATTAGCTTGGAAAGGACTTAAGAAAACTGTCTCAATTATAGAGGAAAGCAGTGTGATTGGAGAAGTCCCAGGTTGTCTTGGTTGTTTTACTCAGAGAAATTTGGAGGAAAACAGATAGTATAAGATGACATCCTCTTTAATAAAACTCCATAGACATAAAAATATCTATGTTTAATATATGTAAGTTAATATGGAAAAGGATAGGTGAGTTATAATTATATCAACATCAGCAAGAAATCTAAAATTGAGGTTATTAACAATATTGCACAGCTGGATGCACACAGAAAATATAGAGTATTTTCTTAATTATTAATGTAATCCAGAGGGATGTGGCACAACCCAAATGCAGCAATACCCATAGTGATAATGAAAACACATATACCCAGGCGAAAATGAAAGAGATGCTAGGTAGATTCTCTCTGTCTTTTAAATTCATTTAGTTATAAAATAACACATACATAAAAACACAACCAATGAAATAAGTAAATACATAGTTGAATAGATTATTATAAAGCAAACATCCTTGTAATTAGCAAACAGATCAAAATAAAATTTTGACAGCAAGCCTGTCCTTGTGACCCAACACAATCACAACTGCTTCCCTCCTCGTAAAAGAAACCACTAACCCGTTTTTCAGAGAAGTCACTTCTTTGCTGCCTTTTAGCCTTATTAGTCTAGCTTGTCTCCTTAGATAGTATAGTTTAGTCTTCCTAAAAAAACTAAACTGAACATTTGATATGTCTCTTTTTTGCTTTTTAACCTTCAGCTTCTCTCTTTATCCCTTCCATTTGCTTACAATTTGCATCCTGAAGAACTTAGGCCAATTGATCTTAGAATTTCCCACAGACTAGATTTTAGAGATTGAAACCTCATAGTATAGTTCATCATGTTGATGTGTCCTTTATGTTTCCTGACAATTGGAAGCTGGATCCAAAGCCTTGACTGGACTCAAATTCTATCTATTCGATAAGACTGTAGATGGTATTATATTCTTTTATCAAGAACATTGTTTCCGGTCGCTTTTTTCATGATATTAGTAGGTGTTGATGCTCAATGCATGGATCCATTAAGAAGCAGCAAAATGGTGATAATTTAATGCCATCATTTCTTATAATGTATTAGACTGAAAACCTCTATAAAGGGACACTTTTCCTCATCTACTCCTTATTTACAGTTCAAATATAGAGAAGAGACACATAATAAATGTTCTATTTTATTTACTACCTTTGAAGATCAGTTGTTTCCCTTTCTTCACCCCTATGTGAGCATTTATTTAATATTGTGATGACCATATGAGATTAAACATATTTTCTGGATTTATCCATTTCAAACATTTTTATTAAAGCTTAGGTGGTCCTGTCTTTAGCCAGGACAAATTGTCATTCAAATAGAATCTTGAGTCTTTTCAATATGACTCTAGTATTCTGATGGCTTCCTTACTATCTAGTATAACAAAAATATTTCAAGACTGTATTGGTTTTGTATTGTGACGTAACAAATATCACAAATGTCAAGACTTAAAAGAACGTGCACTAATTCTCTCACAGTTCTGTAGTGCAGACCTTCAGCATTGCATGCCTGGGTTCTCTTAGGGTCTTATAAGGCTGAAATGAAAGTATTAGATGAATTGCATTCTTATCTGGAGGTTCTAGATAAGAATTTACTTTCAAGGTTACTCAGGTTGTTGACAGATTCAGGCTATCAGGCTGACGTCTTCATTTCCTCGCTGGCTTTTGACTGGTGGTCACTTTCAGATCCTAGAGACCTTGTTCTAGTTCTTTGTATACGCATCCCCTCCATCTTCAAGCAGGCACTGTATGCCAAATCTCCCTCGTGCTTTGAACCTCTAACCTCTTTTACAACCCACAGAGGAAAATTCTCTGCTCTTAAAGTGCTCCTGTGATTCAGCCAGCTAACCAGGATATATTCCATATTTGAGGGATGTTAATTACATCTACAAATCCATTCACAACAGTATTGAGAATAGTGTTTGATTGGTCAAGATGGAAATCATGGGGTACACACATACACACACATACACATACATATGTAATATATAATATTAAGAATAACCTCATGAGTTTAAACTGATATTTCCAAATCAAATTCAGGACTATCACATTTTTTGCTTAACTTCTTCCACTTCTTTTGTATTACATCTGTATCTCCATTCTTCCAACCAGGAATTCTGGTTTTCAAGAACACATGATGAAAGGAACTTGAGTTTCCTATAATGAATGACTTGCTTTATAATATATTTCACACACAAGTATTTCAGAATGATAGTATGAATACTGCAACCACTGATAAGCTTACTGAAAAAAATTGAACTTACAAAATTTAATAAAATATCTTTTATATTCTCTAACCATTAAAATGGTTGAACTATACTATATTTTTGGATCATATAGCCATTATTACACTCCTTCCTTTTTTACACTCATTTTGTCTTTATAAGTAACTGTACCACAAGTTTTTATGTAGGTGACTGTACTTGTTTGATTGTCTGAAGCTTTTTCCTTAGGAAATGCCTCAGGATTCTTGAGAAAAATATTCCTTGAGTTCTTGCATGATGATAAAAGTTTATCTGTGTCCATTATAATTAAAAGTCAGTTTTGCTAGATATAAAATTATTTTTCCACATTTATTTGTCCATATTTAGTATCTTAAATATATTCTAGTTTAGTCTGGCATAGAAAAATTGCTGTTGAAAAGTCTGATGACAAGCTAATTTTATTTCCCTTATGAGTCACTTGAGCTTTTTGCAAAAGCAAAGAGCTCCTTTGATATCTAAAAGAATTTTCTATTTATTTATGTTTTTATAAATTATCCAGTAATTTTATAGACTATGTCTTGGTTTTATTCACTTTAAGTTATATTCCGAAGTATGTAGTGTATTTTTTCATTAAGCAGTTACAAATCATTCTTTAAAATTCAGAAATGTTCTCTTAAATTATAGCTTTCAATATTAGTTTGGCTTATTTGCTTTTGTTTTTATCTTCAGAGATTTCTATTATTCCTAAGTTGGATATACTTTCTTCACTAATATTTATGTGTATGTATATATACATATGTGTGTATATAAACAGTCATGTCATTTAACAAAGAAGATACATTCTAAGAAATGTATCATTAGACAATTTTGTCATTGTGTGAACATTGTAAAGGGTATTTATACAAACCTAGATGGTACAGCCCATAATACACTTAGGCCAAATGGTACAACCTATTGTTCCTAGGCTATAAAACTGTAGAGCATGCTACTATGCTGAAAACTACAGGCAATTGGGACACAATAGTAGGTATTTGTGTATCTAAACATATCTAAACATGGAAAAGATACTGTTAGGTTCTGAAGGGAAGACTAGGGTTAAAGAAAGACACACAGAGAGAAGGAGATACAAACAGCAACACAGGTATATTGCAGACACTGCGAAAATGGGGGACCAGCTTAATGCCAGAATCCACTGCTGCTCACAAGCTGGAGCAAGTCATAGGCCTGGGCAGGAGGGGCTTGGGGGGAAATGACATGCTGCCCAGCAGGATATTGGTAAGATGTTCCATAATAAGGCAGTTCTGGCCCTTGTTCCAGCGGAATGTGGTGTTCCTTGCACTTTCCCCCAGCAGAATATGATAGAGATGTTTCCTCAGTTGGGTCTTTGCCTTTGGTTGGGATTTGTCTGTCTTGTGGTCAGGTGGTTAGGCAGGATGTTTCTCACTGCCTGAACCCCTGTGAAATGTTTCAATTTGACCAAGGTCTGCAAAATAGCAGGAAGCTTATAAAATGGTGGTTTGGACTAACAGGTACAGTAAAAATATGGCATAAAAAATAAAAAATGGGACACTTGCATAAAGTATTTATGAATACTGTCTGCAGGACTAGCTGTTGCTATGGGTGAGTGAGTGAGTGACTGGTGAGTAAACGTAAAGGCCTAGAACATTACTGTATACTACTCTAGACTTTATAAACATTGTACACTTAGGCTATAGTAAATTTATAAAACATTCTTCTTCAATAATAAATTAACCTGCACTCATGTAGCTTTTTTCTTTTATAAACTTCTAAATTTTTAAACTTTCTTATTCTTTTACAACATGTAGATTAAAATAAAAATACATTTTATAGCTCTACAAAAATATTTTTTGTTTATATACTTATTCTATAAGGTTTTTCTATTTTTAAGTGTATTTACTTTCTTTTACTTTTTAATTGCTTTTGTTAAAGAAGAATAAGACACAAACACACACATTATCCTATGCCTACAGAGGGTCAGAGTCATCAATATCAATATTTTCCACTTCCACATCTTGTCCCACTGGAAGGTCTTCAGGGGCAATAACAAGCACGGAACTGTCATCTCCTATGAGAACAATGCACTAGGTTTGTTTACAACAGCATCACCATAAACATGTGAGTATGACCACTATGATGTCACTAGGTAATACGAATTTTTCAACTTGCTCTTTATATATACACACATATACACACACACACAAAGACACACACATAAACTACATATACAAACACACAAAGACACACACATACACTACATCATTTTAATTTTTTAATCTCTTTCATCTTTAAAATATTTCAATCTTCATATTGTTCTGAAGGCATTATTTATTATTTGTTCATTTTTATGTTTTTCCAGTTTTGGTTTTAATGATTTTTAAAAACTTCTAATGGTTTCCAAGTTTTAAAAGTTTCTGTGTTTCCAAGTCATTTCTGTTTTTAAAAAAATTCTTATTTAAACTCTTTTCTCATGACTTGCATCATTTTCCCAATATCTTTTAGTTTCTTTTGTTTTGTTCATGGGCATGTCTTCTGGTGTGTTGTCATTATCTGTAGAAATGTTATGTTGTTCTTATTAATAATTCTATTTTTCTTGTTATATCTATGTATAGGATTAGACCTGATATGTTATTCTTAGTTTTCCTAAACTTTTAGAAGTAGGTGTGGCTTCAGATAGCTTTTCTAACTTCACAGTATTTCCCTTTTCTTTGTTTTCCACATAGTATTAAAAACATGCCGGTTTGCTTCCTGAAATGTCCTAGCTCTATCCCCTTTTCCACTTTTAACCTAATGTCAAGTTAAAAGTATACACACACACACACACACACACACACACACACACACACACACATACAGTATCTTATCACTGGTGAGTTGCCTCACTAGTAAGTTGTGTAAATTCAGAATCATTTTAAAATAAACCAAATTTGATAGGTCAGGCATATCAAATCTACAAAGCCATCATTCTTTCTTATTCCATCAACATTAGATGAAGGCCTATTAAATTCAAAAATTAGCATGTTTGGTTATTCTACTTCTGGATAGGATCTATTTTTTCAAGAGTCAAGCTCAGGTCAAGTGAATATACAATAATAAAATGTCCCATTCACTTTTTTCAAGAACAGGGGACCATATCTGTTTTTTCCTATATTGTATGTCCAACAATTAATACAGTGCCTGGCACATAAGAACTCAGTAAATATTTGTGAAGAGAAGAATACATTTATGAATGAAATTATACTATTGTACAAGTATTCCGATTATGTCCATTTTAGTGTGGCATAACAGCTCAATTGAGTTGATAGATAACTGCATTGATCATTACATAAATAAACATTTATTTTTTATAGATAGGGCCCTAGATTAGGTAAGATTGGCTATTTTAGGATTTACTTATTCAATATTGTGCTAGGAACTACTACTGAAGCATAAAAAATGTAGTATTTGCCTTTTATAGTATAATGGGAAACCTGTAATAGATATTTTTATGGAGTGCATTTACAATATTTAGGATGTGCATAAAAGGGGTGCCAAAACTCTTTTCTCTTTAGGGGACGGCTTTGGAGGTGGGTTAAGAAAGTTACCTGGAGTATGTATTAATTGTGCTAGAGTCTAAAACAGAGTAGACATTGACCAGCTGAAGGAGATGTGGGGCTTTGGAAAGTGTCGCAGAGGAAAGATCTGGAGAAAGGCTTGTAGGTGAAAGGAGAGCATGACAAATTTAGAGAAAATGTTAAGTTTATCTTTGTGTTCATCTCCTGCAATATTACAAATTCATTCAGAAAATTTATAACATTCACTATAATAAAGGATAAAATGTCAGGATTTTTTATTTTGTTTTGTTTTCCTTTCGGCTTTTTGTTTGTTCCTTTGTCTGTATAAGACAGTTGGATTTCTTATGGAGACTCTGCCTAGTCTATAATAGACTAAAGGATTCAAATTGAGGCTATGGCCTTCAAAGGTACTGGATAGAAATATGCAATTTCTGATTTTGTCACCCCATCCCATATATTTTCTGGTTGCCCCAAACCTCTTTATTGTTCATCTGAAGCCCAGGATGGCTTGACCCTGCTTCGTAACACCCCAGATAGGATGTTTTTAAGTGCTTCCTATGAGCAGACACTCTTATAACAGGAGAAAGCAACTTTAAAGAAATTTATTGAGTGGTTGAATGATTCATTCAGTTCAATGCGCTAATTCTAACTACATCTGCTCTTTTTCAAGAGATTTTCCTTTGCCTCAATTAATGAATCTTTAACAAAGTTTCTTTTTAGCAAAGATTTATTGGGTCAATGCTTTGCTGTTCTTTAAAAATTACATTATGTAGAATTGTTAGTACAAAAAGATCTTTCTGTTCCAAACCTCTGTAAGCTTGATATTTCTATTCTCCCTTGAAGTAACTCTCAGCCAGAGCACTAAATTTTAGTAACCTGGTTAAAATTATAGATGCCATCTTAATGTTTCTTCTCCCCCAGGAACTAGGATAATGCATGCAGCAACCCAGGAAGTTAAGCTCAGGTCACATGCTTGCATGTCTAAATTGGCTGATTCATTAAAATATTAAATTTTTAAGGATGAAACTGAGTATGCATGCTTTACATTTTGAATTTTTATAGAAAATTTGAATGCAAATAGAGTTAAACTAAGTACAGATTAAACACAGCTGTCCAGATGTCTGAATTACCACAAGACTTCATAAGTAAGCAGTTCTTTAGGAAAATGAGCCCTTTTGTTCAATTCGTGCAGCAGAGTCCACATTTATTTGTATAGGAAAATTCCATTTCACAAATAGAATAAGAGTAGAAATAAAGGAACTTTTAAATACACGTATCACTTTTTTTTTTTCTGAGTCTATAAGAAATAACCAGAGTCCCGGGGAGTTGGGGAAATGATTGTGATAGATTTACATTAATTTACATATTTTTCTAAATGAGACTAAGCATACTCTTTGAATGTGGAGACTGTGTTATATTTCATGTTGTATACTCAACACCTAAAACAATATGTAGCACCAAGCAAGCCATCCATGAATATTTTCCAACTAAATGAATAAAATTCTAGTAGTGAATCACACCTGACATCTTCAGAAGGGTGATAGGAAAAAATTTACACATCTTTCTTGATAATAACATCTAAATTCCATTTTAAAAGCCCATAGTATTCATGAAGTTTCCTCTGGTGTCTCCTTCAGAGTTTTAAACCATTAACACACTCTTCAATAAAAATATATCTTAAACTTGTAACATTTAAGTTTTATTTTTCCCCCAAGATGGTGGATTAGAGGCACTACTGGAGTGCCTCTCCCACTTGGAAAGACAAATAAGTGTGTAGAGATTCACATGTGAAATTTTTTTTCCAATAAGCAATGCAGGAACTTAACAAACTGAAATCCACAGACCTTTTGAACAAAGCAGCTTGCTACAGCAAAAAATCTAAGTTCCCAGAATGTAAGAGGAAGAGAGACTGCCTCCAGGATGTACACCCCCACTGGGAAACCTGGAAATCCAGGCCACGGTGGAAGACCTTAACCTTATGCAGTGCTGGAACTGACTTAGGGAATGGTGAGGAATATGAAAGTAGGAGCAGAAGCAGTAGCTGCCTTTCCAGTCTCCAGTATGGACCGAGGGAAACCATTCCTTGGTCCACCTCACGGGTGACCTCGCAGAAGTTGGCTACCTAATTCATGCAGTGGTCACAGGTTGAAAGAAGCTCCCAGCTGAATTTCACATCATAAGCTCCAGTGGGGCTTGGCCAGAACCAGGGGTGAGTGGGAAGTGTGCTGCAGCCGCAAGCACAAGAGCTGGGTGCCCTGGCTTTGCAGGGCAGACTCGGAGGGGGTGGCCTGAAAGCCATGGTTGCTATTTCTGTGGGGAAGTCTTATGACAGCCTGGGACAGTTTTGGGTTCTGAGCACAGACGACATGGAACTCAGCTCGCCGCTGCTAGCAGAACACTGCAGGTGTTAGATTTGCCTTGCCAAGTGCATGGGAGCAAGGTGAGGCTTACTGTGCTGGCTATTCCCCATTCCCTACACAAACTCTTCTGTGTAGCAGAGACAGCTACACTTTTTTTCTGGAACTTTACCCCTGTGGCCAAAGAACTGCTCCCCTGACTCCCACAGGGGCCACTGCTTGCCCCTACATGGAGAGCCAGAGTGCTGAACTGCCTGACCCAGCCCCCATCTGGCTTTGCCCCTCCACCTGCCCTCGTAGCAAATCATAAAGGACAGAAACTTTCAGGAGCTTTATGGTTCTGCCCAGCACCTGAGAAACTAGAGTACCTACCCTGGGTAACATAAGGCAAGCACAAATCCTATTGCTACTACTGCCACTGGTGCTGTTTTGTAAGCACCACATCCTGGCCAGAGGCCAACTGACATAGTCCATTACAGAATCTCCAGGTAGAATAACACTGTGCCCAGAAAGGAGAAATCTTGTGCATGACCCCATCTATCACCATGGTCTGCACCACTCTGGCTAACCAGGTGGGTCTTGAGTCTATTCATGTGACCAGTTCGTTACTACTACAACCAGTATTTGAGAAAGCCAACAAACTAAGGCTATCTATAACCAAGAAATCTCACACAGTCAATGTCACTCTTCTACCACCCCATCAGAGCTGGTACTGGTATCTGCTGCTGGGAGAGTTGAGGACAGGGAACATCACTGGATTCCTTGCAGTCACTCCCCAGCATGACTCTGGAGTATGTCAGCCCCACTGAGTGACTAGACCCAGAGGAGCAACAACATTCACAGTATTCTGGGTCTCAGGGACTCCTACTCCTAGGAGAAGGAGGAGTGCACTAAATCAAGGGAACACCCCATGGGACAAAGAGCCTAGACAGCAGGCATTGAGTCCCAGATCTTTCCACTGGTAGGAAGTTTCTTTCAACAGCGGCACAGTTGAAGTCCTGGCCCACGAGGAAAAGTCTACAGGTACAGGCAACAGTCAGGCAGCCCTGGTGCTCATGAAGGATCTTGGAGAAGGGGACTTCTTTTCCTTCTCATCCACCACTGAAAACAGCTGGAGCTTTTCCCATGAGATCTCGGCATGAGTGCACCTATCTATATACAGCCTTTCTGGAACACTTCAGGGTGACTGCTTCCCCACAGGAAAAGCACCTTCCAGGTTCAGGTTTTCATGAGAAGTAGAGTCACAGTTCCTCTTTACTTGGAACATCAACATTCCTGCAGATTAAAAGAGGTGCCCATCTGATCTGAATAGCCAGAACATTGGGTCAGAAGTGTGTCTAGGAGGTAGATCACTTTCCTGTTGGTCTGGCAGGGGAGCTGAGGTGACTCCAGCCCTTCCCTCTAATAAGACCTTAGTGTGTTTCACTGAAAGCTTCCCCAGCCACATCTGACAAGGCTGGAACCTCTACCCACCATTGGGTATTGCATTTAATCACATGCTTTAGCCAAATCCAGTTTTTACCCATGGACACCTCCCCCATTGTCCTGAAGCCTGAACTATTCAATCCAGTAAATAAAATAATGGGGAAAATAAATAAATGCAAACGTGCACACCATGGGGAAATGAGATAAGCTTCAACAGACCTCTGCCATTCCAATCCTGTAAGAGACAGTGAACTTGCTCACACACAGAGTACATTGCTATTACAACCAGCATCTGAGAAAGCAATCATAAAAAGACTCTCTATAACCAATAACTCTGATTTCTTCACCCCTATAGCACCAAGAGCTGATTTAGGCTATGATAAACTATAGACATTAAAGTTATATCCTTAAGGGGGAAAAACAAAATTAAGAAAACCACACAGTCAAATACAAAATAAATTCAAGAATAATTAGAAGAAAGAGTATACCCAAATGAGAAGGAATCAGAACAATGATTCTAGTAATATGACACAATAGGTTTCTCCAATAGCCCCCGAAAGATCACACTAGCCCCCCAGCAATGGATCCAAACCAAGATGAAATCTTTGAAATACCAGATAAAGAATTTAAAAGATTGATTATTAAGCTGCTCAAGGAGATAGCAGAGAAGGTGAAAAAAATAATAAAATTTAAAAAACAACTCAGGTTATGAATGAAAAAAATTATAAATAGATATCTTAAAGAAAATCCAATCAACTTCTGGAAATCAAAGGCACACTTAGAGAATTACAAAACGCAGTGGAAAGTTTCAACAATAGACTATAACAAATAGAAGAAGGAATTTCAGAGCTTGAAGACAAGGCTTTTTAATGGACTGAATCAGGAAAAATAAGAAAAATAAATAAATAAACAAAATAAACTGATTATATAAAAGAGCCAAACCTTAGAATAATTGATGTTCCTGGGGGAGAAGAGAAAGCAAAAAGTTTGAAAAACTTATTTGAGGTAATAATTGAGGAAAACTTCCCTGGCCTTGCTAGAGATTTAGATATTCAAATACAAGAAGTTCAAAGAACTCCTGCGAGAGTCATTGCAAAAAAGCTCATCAACAAGGAGTATAGTTATCAGGCTATCTAAAGCCAACATGAATGAAAGAATTCTAAGAGCAGTGAGACAAAAGCATCAGGTAAGCTATAAAGCAAAACCTATCAGAGTAACAGCAGACTACTCAAAAGAAACCTTACAAGCCAGAAGGGATTAGAGTCCTATCTTTAACCTTCATAAACATAATAGCTGTCAGCCAAGCGTTCTGTATCCAGCAAAACTAAGTTTCGTAAATGTAGGAGAAATAAAGTCATTTTCAGATAAGCAAATGCTGAGAGAATTTGGTACTACTAGACCAACCTTACAAGATACGCTAAACAGTGTTCTGAATCTTGAAACAGGTACTCAATATGCAGCAAAATAGCATGAAACTCACAGGGCCTATAAAACAATAACATAACAAAAAATCAAAGTGTCTAGATAACAACTAACATGATGAATGGAATAGTACCTTACATCTTAATATTAATGTTTAATGTAAATGTAGATAGATTGGAAGATACAGATTGGTAGAATGGATTAAAAAAATCACAAACCAAATATCTGCTGTCTTTAAGGGATGTACCTAACATGTAAGGATTTAGGTAAATTCAAGGTAAAGAGGTGGAAAAAGATCTTCCACCCAAAAGGAAACCGAAAGTGAGCAGGAGTAGCTATTCTTATGTCAGATAAGACAGACTGTAAAGTAACAACAGTAAAAAAAAAAAAAAAAAAAGACAAAGAAGGTCATTATATAATGATGATTAATCAAACAAGAAGATATGACAATCCTAAATTTATATGCACCTAACACTGCAGCTCCCACTACACTAACAGCACTAGACAGATCATCAAGACATAAAGTCAACAAAGAAACAATGGACTTAAACTACATTCTAGAACAAATGGACCTATCAGATATTTATGGTCCATTCTACCGAATAACTGTAGAATATACATTCTTCTCACCAGCACATGGAAAATTCTCCATGATAGATCATGTGATGGGCCACAAAACAAATTCTGATAAATTAAAAAAAAATCAAAGTCACATCAAGTATCTTCTTGGATCACAGTGAAATAAAACTAGAAATCAACTCCAAAAGGAACTCTCAAAACTATACAAATACATCAAAATTAAACAATATGTTTCTGAATGATTTTTAGATAACAATGAAATCAAGATAGAAATTTAAAAATTATTTGAAATAACTGATAACAGTGACACAAGTTTTCAAAGCCTCTGGGATACAGCAAAAGCAATGCTAAGAGGAAGGTTTATGTTACTCAATGATTACCTACATCAAAAAGTCTGAAAGATCACAAATTGACAACCTAATGTCACACTTCAAGGAACTAGAGAAACAAGAACAAACTAAACCCAAAGCTAGCAGAATAAAATAAATAACAATGATCAGAGCAGAACTAAATGAAATTGAAACAAACAAAAAAACAAAGGACAATGAAACAAAAAGCTGCTTCTTTGGAAAGATAAACAAAATTGATAAAACATTAGCTAGATTAACCAAGAAAATAAGAGAGAAGTTTCAAATAAGTTTAATTAGAAAGGAAACTGGAGGTATTACAACCAAAACCACAGGAATACAAAGATCAAGACTATTATGAACATCTCTATGTACACAAACTGGAAAACCTAAAGAAAAAGGATAAATTCCTGGAAGCATGCAACCCTCCTAGATTAAATCAAGAAGAAATAGATATTTGAACAGACAAATAACATGCAGCTAGATTGAATCGGTAATAAAAAAAATGCCAACAATATAAGCCTAGGGCCAGATGGATTCACAGCTGAATTTTATCAGACATTCAAAGAATTGGTACCAATCCTACTGAAACTATTCCAGAAGATTGAGAGAGAAGGAATCCTTAAATAATTCTATGAAGCAAGTACCACCCTGATACCCAAACCAGGAAAGGACATAACAAAAAAAGAAAGCTACAGACCAATATCCCTGATGAACATAGATGCAAAAATCCTCAGCAAAATGCTAACTAACCAAATCTAACAGCACATCAAAAAGATAATATACCATGATCAAGTGGGTTTCATCCCAGGGAGGCAGGGATGGTTTAACATATGCAAGTCAATGCATGTGATACATCATATAAACAGAAATAAAAACAAAAAAAGATTATTTCTTCAGATGCAGAAAAAGCATTTGATAAAATTAAGCATCACTTTATTATCAAAAACCCTCATCAAACTAGGCATAGAAGGAACTTATCTTAAGTTAATAAAAGCCATATATGGCAAACCCACAGTTGACATTATATTGAATGGGGAAAAATCAAAAGCATTCCCCTGAGAACTGAAACAAGATGAGGATGCCCACTTTCACTATTTTGTTTCAATACAGTACTGGAAATCCTAGCCAGAGAAATCAGGCAAGAGAAATAAATAAAGGGCATTCAAATTGAAAAAAGTCAAACTATCACTGTTTAACAATATGATCGTATACCTAAAAATCCCTAAAGACTCCTCCAAAGGACTCCTAGATTTGATAAATGACTGCAGTAAAGTCTCAGGTTAAGAAATCGATGTATATATCAGTATATATCAGTAGCACTACTAGGCGCCAACAACGACCAAGCTGCAAATCAAACCAATTCCTCAATCCCTTTTATAACAGCTACAAAAGAAATAAAATACCTAGGAATATATTTAACCAAGGAGTGAATGATCTCTACATGGAAAACTAAAAAACACTGCTGAAAGAAATAATAGATGACAAAAACAAATGTGAACACATCCTATGCTCATGGATTGGAAGAATCAATATTGTGAAAGTGATCATATTGCCCAAAGTGCTCTACACATTCAATGCAATTCCCATCAAAATACCAATATCATTTTTCACAGAATTAGAAACAAAAGTCCAAAATTCATATGGAAGCAAAAAAGAGCCTGAATAGCCAAAGCAATTCTAAGCAAAAATTCTGGAGACATCACATTACTGGACTTCAAATTATACTACAAGGCTAGGGTTACCAAAACAGCAGGGTACTAGTATAAAGTAGGCACATAGACCAATGGAACAAAATAGAGAACCCAGAAATAAACCCAAATGCTTACAACCAACTGGTCTTTAACAAAGCATACAAAAACATAAATTGGGAAAAGGATATCCTATTTAATAAATAGGGTATTTATTAAATATTAAATTAAATATTAAATATTAAATTATTAAATGTTAAATAGGGTATTAAATATTTAATAAATAATACATAAATAAATTGGGTATTTATTTATTAAATGCTAGCTAGCCACATGTAGAACTAGCTAGCCACATGTAGAAGAATGAAACTGGATCCTCATCTCTCACCTTATATAAAAATCAACCCAAGATGAATTAAAGAATTAAATGTAAGACCTGGAACCATGAAAATATAACGTTGGAAAACCTCTTCTGGACATTGGCCTAGGCAAAGAATTTATGACTGAAATCCCAAAAGCAAATACAACAAGAGCATAAATAAATGGGACCTAATTAAACTAAAGAGCTTTCTCTCATGATTGTTTCTTCTCATGAAGAATGGGAGAAAATATTTGAAAAGTATGCATCTGACAAAGGACTAGTATCCAGAATCTAGAAGGAACTCAAACAAATCAGCAAGAAAAATACATTTAATCCCATCAAAAACTGGGCAAAGAACATGAATAGACACTTCTCAAAAGAAGATATACAAGTGGCCAATAAACATATAAAAAATACTCAACATCAGTAATCATCAAGGAAGTGCAAATTAAAACCGCAATGAGATACGACTTATTCCTGTAAGAATGGCCATTGGCCAAAAAACAATAGATGTTGTCAGGGATGTGGTGAAAGCAGAACCCTTACACACTGCTGTTGGGAATGTAAATTAGTACAACCTCTATGGAAAAGAGTACAAAGATTCTTTAAAGAACTAAAAGTACATCTACCATTCAATCCAGTAATTCCACTACCCAGAGGGATTGTACGGCCAAAAAATAAAGAGGAGTAGTGGAATTACTGGATTGAATGGTAGATGTACTTTTCCTACCCAAAGGAAAAAAGGTCATTGCATAAAAAAGTCACATACATGTGTACATTTATTGCAGCACAATTCACAGTTGCAAAGATATGGAACCAGCCTGAGTGCCCATTGACCAATGAGTAGATAAAGAAAATGTGGTATATATACACCATGAAATACTATTCAGCCATAAAAAGAATGAAATAATGCCTTTTGCAGCAACTTGGATGTAACTGAGGCCATTATTCTTGGTGAAGTAACTCAAGAATGGAAAACCAAATATCATATGTACTCACTTATAAGCGGGAGCTAAGCTATGAGTATGCAAATGCATACAGAGTGACATAATGGACTTCGGAGACTCAGAAGGGACAGGGTGGGAAGGAGTTATGGAAGAAGAAACTACATATTGGGTAAAACGTACACTACTCGGGTGACAGGTGCATTAAAATCTCAGAATTCACCACTATATATTTCATTCATGTAACCAAAACCACTCGTACCCCAAAAGCTATTGAAATTTAAAAAATTATAACATTTAAGTGTGCATTTGAATGTCAGCAGTTGAATTTATTTAATCAGGGGTTTATTCTACTTCACCAGAAAAGGGAAACAATGGAGAAATGCTGTGATTGTTCCTTGCTTCTATGGTCAACATTTTGCATAATCTGAAGTCTCTCTTCCTTCTTGAGCATACTCACTAAAAGATTTATTAAGTTAGAAGTGCTAACCTATTTTTATTCAATTTTCTGTGTGAGGTCCAAACAAGCTGGATCCTTAAATCAGCATTTGAGAACTTTATGACTAAAAGAGCAACATCTACAAATAACACTATTTCACATAATGCATACCATTCAATAATATTTAGCAGAAAATATTTTTCCACTATTTTATAAAGAAAATATTTCCCTTCTATAGAATTCAAAAGTTTCTATGTTTTTTGGAGATGTTTTCCAGACAAAGGTGCTAAGCAGAGCAAGGGCCATGATAATAAATCAGGACTTTGTGTTCCCAGTCATATACACAGAAAATTCCTCTATTCCATAAAGCAATGTGTTATGTCTAGTTGAGAATAACTGTGTGCTGACTATAAATTGTACATTGAAAATGAAGAGAGTAACTTGGGGAGAGGATCTCGCTCTGTCACTCGGTGGCACTATCGCAGCTCACTGCAGCCTTGCCCTTCAGGGCTCAATCTGCCAGCCTCTGCCTCACAAATTCCTGGGACTACAGGTGTGAACCACCACACCTGGCCACAAGACTAAATACTTATCTTGCTTGTGGAGCAGGGCTCTTGGGAAAAGGTCATCACTTGCGATGTCACCAGCATAAAGTGATTATGATTCAGTATCTACAAACTTTAGCCTGGAGATATTAAATATTTAAGTGCATCATTAACCTCTAGCTTACTTTTTCATTAATATAATTTTTTTTAGTAAAAGTGGGATATAACTTTTTAGAGAACATTTTTAGCATTGAATAATTCAAATGTTATTGTTTTCAATTTTTTACTTCAAGTTCTGATGGAAAAATAACATGAAATGCCAAGATACCATATCCGCTCCTCACTGCTCACTGATTTTATAAAAACCTCTAAATTTGGTGTTGAATTATGCAGATCAGACACTAATGTGCACATGCTCTTCACTAAAAGCAGTTACTTCATTTGTCACAAGATGGTGCTGCACACAGTTCTAAATGGGCTACTCTTAGTAAAGAAACTTCACAGCATTCAAGAGAAAGGAGCACAGTCCTTGAACACTTCATATTTTGCTTCCAGGGTATGGGAAAGTATATTGAATGATAAGACAGAAGGAAATATAGCTTTCCAAACTCAGAGTTTGTGTTGCAAGGAATAGAAGAATTAAAATTCATTCTTTAGAATAATTTTAGTGTAGAACAGTTAAGAGAAAGAAGAGATATTCTCTAATAGATTCTGCCCAAAAGTCTTCTATTCATTTCACTTTGGGGTAGAATAGAAATAGTATGACCAAAAATGAAAGGGAAGGATGAAAAATTAGAGTATTAAAATGGTGATATTGAGCCCTGTATACCCACTTTTAAAAATGTGTAAGGGACATTAAAACTGTGAAAAGGAGAATCTCTTACTCCCATTTTATTTCTCACTGGACATAAGTACAGTCAAATTTGTCAACAGAATGGGCAACATTACATTGTATATATGCAGGCATAAGCAATGTGAGGGCAGAAACATCCATCTCTGGTTTTTAACACCTTCAAAGTGATTTTTTTTTTTTCAGAATGAATATCACTTTTCTGCTTAAACTCAGTAGCTTTCCATTGCACTCAGAATTAAGTCCAGGTTCCTGGAGTTTTACTTAAAGTACCAGAATATGAACTGTTGTTACAGATTTGCTATGACATAACGTACTGATGACACATGGAAAAATCAATCATATCAGTAAGCACACTGTTTGATTCAGCTGACCTTTTTCTTTCTTATCAAGACTTTCTCAATGAAGTCATGCCTTGATTAACTATGAACACTGCAGCACTGTCTTAGTGTGCCCCATGCTTACATCTACCTCTGCCACTTGGCTTTTTCTGACCCAGAGCTTCAGATGCTCAAACCGCTGTGACCTTTCAGCACCTAAAATGAATGAACCAAGTTACTTTTCATCATCAGGGGTATGCACGTACTGCTTCCTCTTTCTGAAATGCTTGTCCCTTCCTCTCTGTGATTTCTTTTCATCCTTCATCTCACACTTCAGATCTCAGAGAGGTGTACCCAGACCACCCAATCTAAAGTGGGTTATTCTATTTCATAGCACCGTATTCTTTTCCTTTTATTTATGTTATTGTAAATTGTAACTGTATACATAAATGATTCACAGGTTTCATGTTTCAAATAGATTTGAGAAAAGTGTATGATGGGCCCCTCAAGTAAGCCACACTGTTTATTAGCCTATGATAGATTCTGGGAAGTCCTAATCTAAAGAAACCTAATGAATTATACGGAATTCAGAGCTTCCAACATTTTTTTTAGTATTAACATTCTAGGAAGCCATATGGAATATTCTTTAGAAAACATTGCTCACATCCATCCACACTCTGCATTTTATAGAAGAGGAAACAGGTTCACGTTAGTGATTGCCCATGCTATAAATTTAGTTAGCAACAGTTAAGGGCTGTCTTTGATGGACACAATAATATTGACAGTAGATCTATTTCCATAGACACTGATTCCATTCATCTTTACTTTTTATTACATTTGCCTTACTATATTTGTGCTGTTTTTACCAATCTTTATTCTAGTAGCTCTTTTTAAAATAATCATGGAGTAGATTTTATCAGACTATACAAAATATTTATTTGGATACCTGCTTCTTATTTTTCTGACTACTCCTACCCCTAAAAGCTGTTATTCATTATTCTATTGCAGTTTGGCAGGTCTCTCTTGTAGCATGGATCAAGTAGAGTAACAAAAATTTATTTCAAAGCTGTTTCCCTTTTTTAATTTGAACTCTGAAAGGGAAGGGAGTTTGTTATTTATTTTTTATTCCTCACATTTATTCAGGGCCCCACAATAAATAAATGCTAGAGGATATAAATACAAAGCATGTTTCTCTAGAGGGACTCAAAGTCTGGAGAGGAGACTGCCATAAATACAAGCAATTATAATTTGTCAGACTTAGATGCTATGACAGAGATAGGTTAGCAGTGATGAAGGTTCTTGGACTGTTTTTCAAAGGTAGCAATATGGGAGTTTGATGAGACAAACAAACTATTTCACCATGTGAAGGGGAGGGCTAAAGGCAGAGGTAGCACCATAAGACAGTCATGTCGCGTTTCTCCCCTAAATGTTCCATCCTGGCTAAATGCTTTTAACCTTTAGGACTAACTGTCACACTCAAAGAGAAGACTTTCTGGGACTCTCACAAACCAAACCAGTGCCCCAGTTGTAATTTCCAATCACAACTTTTATGTCATATAATTCGAATCTAATATCGTCCATAATATTATGCAATTTTTATCAATATTTTCTACTATTTTCCATGAGTGGCAGACATGGTATTTTGTTCATTGGTGTATCCTTAGTATCTAGCAAAATGTATTGTACATAGTATGTTCTTGATAATTATTCATTGAACATGTGAAAAAGCTGAAAAATAGATGAGTTGCCTACTGTGGGTTATGGAGTGACAGAAGATGAAAAAATGTAGAGAAGAAGGTAGATTGTGAAGGCCAAGCTGAAGAGTCAAGATTTTATTTTATCACTGATGGTGTTTTGGGAGAAGAGTAAATCAACCAAGGTCATGTACAAAAGCATCCTAGGTAAGACCTTGTATCTAAGTTTTTTGACTCACTGATGAACTATTCCACAGTAAAATCACTGAACCTGACAGAATATACTATATAAATAGACTTTATTTATGTGTGTATATGTATTCTCATGATATAAGTCAACTATATGGAGTTGTTTTATTAACAATATAGTTATAAAATATAGTTACTGACAATATAGTCATTAATAAATTACTTTCTTAATCTCAGAGGTTTTTAAGATAGCATATATTAGCATATATATATATATAAACACACATATATTTAAGATAGTCTACCCCAGAGAAGTCTAGAAATCTAGGTCTCATTAATTCTTATCTCTTCTGGACTTACCTAAATTATTAGGTTAGTGGTTGATTACTTTCAAGTGTTTAAAAACAGTCTTAGTGTGTAGTAACTAAAAAAAATGTAATGCCTTACAGCTCTGTTGTCTGACATGGTAGCCTCTACCTATACGTTCCCATTTAAATTTAAATTAGTTAAAATTAAATAAACTTAAATATTTAGTTCCTTACATCCACCAAATTTAACATGCTCATAGCCACATTTTCAAGTGTTTCTTTGGTCATGGCAGAAAATTCTATTGAACAGTATCATAGTTTAGAGGGTTAACTAAAACAAAACAAAACAGAAACATCATTATGGTATCTTTCATTTTCTCAGTACTATATGTTTTTCAAAATCCCTTTTCCTGTGACATTTTACCTGACTCTGAGAATGAGCTGTTGAGGTGGAGTATGCAGGAAATACCATCATTACCATTGCTAAGATTAGAGAATTGAGAGAGAGAGACTAGCTCTACTGACCTATCAACTTCACATTGGTAGCAACACCAAGGCTTAAACGGAATAATTTTGACTAAACTACAGACAACTCTCCTGGGTGAGAGATACAAAGAAATACTTCTTGGTTATGGAGACTGAAAAAAACCCATTCTAAGAAAAAGCTAAAAGAAATGAAGAAAATATGGGATGAATATTCCTCCATCATAAAATCATCCTTTCTGTGATTCTATGTGATGATTTCTTAGCAGCACACTTTAGAACTGCATGACAAGATAAGATAGTAAGAGAAATATATGCATTTTAATCAAATCGAAGGAAATGTGGGTAGGAAAGCAATCTTCAGCAAATAATGTAAAGAGCTGAAAACCCCCCAGTCATCCCATGCAAGGTTGTTTATCTGACTGGCTGTAATGAGTGGCTAATTTACAGTGAGAGAGCCGCAGCAGCTTCCTAGCAACATCCTTAAGTCTAGCATTTCACAATCACTCAGGCATCCAAGCAGCCCTGCCATTTCATAGTTCTCTATCTTCCTTTTGTTTATATATGCAAGCAAATGAGGGGAAATAAAATGGGAAGAATATCATAGCAGCTCTATTTACAAAGATACACTCCATAAAATAGATTAACAGAAAAAAATGTTTAACAAATAAAACATTGTAAAACCTTCAGCTGAAGATCCAAAGCTATAAATCACATAAAATTCATGACCCATAGTACAATGTGTTACTCATAAAATTTCAATTTGTGTAAGTGAATGTTGTTCCTGGTTACACATAAAGACACAAAGCTGTAATACGGTTTCCATAGGAGACAGTTTTCACAACATCTCTCCTCACTTTACATGTGGCCTGAAGAAATTTTGATTGAGGACTTCGGGATATACATTTGGGGAGGCTAAGAACAGCATCTGAGCCATGAGATTAAAAAGAATATTCCACGTGCTGCATATTAGGCTTAATATTATAGGGAAAAGTTAAATAAAGCAAGGTAAGATTTCTAGGCTCTTTACAAATGAGTATAAATATTTGTTGAATGAATAAACATATCTGAAGGATGTCTTCTAACTTTTAGGTTATCTCTTGACTGTTCATTATGTCATTCATCACAATAGAAAAGTTGCTTAGTAAAATAAAATGTAGTGGATTTTATGCTGATGTTAATCAGCTTCTCTTCTCTCCCTTCTTTTCTTTCCTCCCTCCCTCCTCTTCTCCTGCCCCACTTTCTCCAAACCTTATTACCGAGATGGCTCTATTTGTACTCTTGGCATGATTAAGAATTGGTTGTTTATTTTAACCCAGAAAATTTGTACTTTAACATGTATTAAGATAGAAAAATATAAGAATTAAGAAATACTTTTCTGGAAGGAACATCGAAGGGTTGAAGACTTTGAATTGTCAATAAACTCAATTTCATAATCTGTTTGCAGATGTTCTGGTAATAAGAGGACAATTATTTTGGTGTATATATATAATTATATATGTATATAGTATATATATGATTATATATGTATATAATATATATAACTAATATTTTCTCTAACTAGCCTTTCTTATATATACGTGATTACTAGCCACCCCTAAGTAGGTTGACCCTATAAATTGCCGTCCAAACAAGGAAATATTTAAAAGTGAAAGGGAAACTATTAATAATTAATTAAACAGACAGAGAAGTATATCCAAGAACAGTACCAAATAAACTGTGACATGTGTTTGTCCTACTCCTTATCTTAAAAGGTTATTATCACCAAAATATAATGCTTTCTGTATACCCTTGTTGACCAATGTAAAATGTAACTCCTTAGTAATAAATATTGTAGAGTACAGCTGACAAGACTCTTTATCTCTTGGTGAAATGCACAGTGATGATTTTTATTTGTAAGTATCTGAAGGCTCAGCTAGTTAGAAAGCAACTTTTCTTCCATAATGCTCAAGAACCTATGTCAATGTTTTCAGTTTGAAGTTCTGAGGCTCTTTTCCTCAGTGGCTCTGATCTGTCCAGAATTCATTTCTCTTTTTGGTACAACATCACAAGTCTGGAGGACTTTGAAAATGATTGCAGGTGCTTGATTCAAATATTCAATATTCTCTCTGTTCAGAAGTATATAAGCTGTGTTATTACATGGCCATTTTGATGATTCATATTTTAGAAGCTCACTGAATACAACACAGAAATATAGCATAAAATTTACCACATTGTAATTTTCTTTTTGAGTTGAATTAATGCTATCTCTGAACTGGTTAATGATCATAGGCTAGGTTTAAAAACTGCATACTTTCTTTTATTTTTAACTTCTTCTAAAAAAATGGAATACATGTGCAGGATGGACATGTTTTTTCCATAGCATACGTGTGCCACGGTGGTTTGCTGCACCTATGGACCCGTCCTCTAAGTTCCCTCCCCTCACCCCCTGACCCCCAACAGGCCCTGGTGTATGTTGTTCTCCTCTCTGTGCCCATGTGTTCTCAATGTTCAACTTCCACTCATGAGTGGGAACATGCAGTGTTTGGTTGTCTGTTTCTGTGTTTGTTTGCTGAGGATGATGGCTTCCAACTTCACCCATGTCCCTGCAAAGGACATGATCTCATTCCTTTTTATGAGTGAGAACATGTGGTGTTTGGTTTTTTGTTCACATGTTAAAAAAAAAAAAAAAACTGAATACTTTCAAACAATGTTTTGAAGCTGAGAAGTTTCCATTAAAGTTAATAGAAAAGTAACATAATCTGATAGGGCATAAATTAAAGAAAGCTTATAGAGGTATCTTCATTGTGATACAGATGTATAAGGAAAATAAGATAAAGAATTGAAGGCATAGGGACACCAGCATTGAAAGAAAACTAGGAAGTTTTATGTAGGCATACAGATAAAGATAAAGATACAAATAATGATATCAATTCAGAAATGTAATATATAATCAGGCCGGACGCAGTGGCTCGTGCCTATATCCCAGCACTTTGGGAGGACTAGGTGGGCAGATCACCTGAGGTCAGGGGTTTGAGACCAGCCTGGCAAACATGGTGAAAGCCTGTCTCTACTAAAAATTCAAAAACTAGCCAGTTTGGTGGTGTGCACTTCTAATCTCAGCTACATAGGAGGCTGAGGCAGGAGAATCGCTTGAACCAGGGAGGTGGAGGTTGCAGTGAGCCAAGATCATGCCTCTGCACTCCATCCTGGGTGACAGAGCCAGACTCCATCTCAAAAAAAAAAAAAAAGAAAAAGAAATATGATATATGATCAGAATTTTGTTTACTTGTTTACTTGTCCATTTTCAAAAGAATTATACAGAGAAGTTCAAGAGAATTTCTAAATAAGTAATTTATGCAATAGACCAGGGATAACTTCCAGCTCTTCTGTCTCTCCTAACTTCCCCTTCCCCTTCTTTTTCATTTGTATTCATGAGGGTACATCCAAACTGAAAGAAATAGAAAACACAAAGCAAACTGATGGAATATTAAGGAGTATATTTTGGTCATATTCCTAAATATTTCAGAGAAAGTATGATACGCAGGCATGGTTTGAACAGGGCTCTGGAGCCAACTCACTGTGATCCCCATGGGGTGCACACCTTCATGCTCAGGTGGCACCCTTCATGGTGGCAACATGGCTGTTGCAGTTCTAAGTTTGCTGTCTGTACTCCACACTGTTGAGAAGGGAATAAACAGTCATGTTATGGTATTGCTAGCCAAAGTCTCAAATTCTATGAGGATTGTTCAGTCTTGGGTAAAAGGAACAAATATTTTTGGTAAAGAAATACTCTGCTTCCAGAGTCAAGAGTTAATTCGGTCTTACTCAAACTGCATGGCTGCCACACCATTTGTTAAGTGTAGTGTACATGACAAATTAGTGTTAATAAAATTTCCCCAAGATAAATCTGGATACTAATAAAGAAGGGCAAGAGAAAGACCCAAAAACCATGCAATGAATGCATATTTATTTCCACTGAATGCTGCTCTTTTATTATAACTATTTCACCCATGATCTTCCATATTCTTGTGTATTTTTCCCATTAAGAGAAGTTAAAATCATAACATTTTTATGTTGGGGTGATCAGACCCAACACCAGGTCATGGGGGTGATGAAGTCCGGCGGAGTCAAAGGATTGAGAAAAAGACAGTTTGAGAAGTAAAGCTGGGACCGAGGGGCCATCGCGATCGTGGAGGCTGCGAAGGCCCCAAGCTCTGGGACCCCACGCTATTTATTGGTAATCCAACAGAGAAACAGGTGGTGAGAATGTGGAGGTCAAAAGGGCAGGCTTGTGATCTACAGCTGTGATGGTTTAGCACTTATTAGGAACATGTTCTGCTACTTGAGATAATGGAGAGCAGGTTCTTTTAACTCAAGATACAATCGATCCTGGGAGAGCAAGAAGCAAGGAGCCAGCAAGTCTAGACACATTCCAGAGCCAAGAACCCTGGATTTTATCCAAGCCACAAGGGATTTTATGCCCTGGGCTTACATTATGGTTTGTCAGGGTAGACTTCCACCCTTTAGCACAGAGCTTGGTGTTCCAAAGGCCACAAGGGGTTTTAGACCCTGGACCCCGGACATGTTCCAAGACTCTTTTACATTATATCAGACATGCAATCCCTGCCTCAGCTTCTCCCAGCACTCAGCCTTTCCCAACATTTTTACTTCAACAATTCATAAAATGTTTTTCAAAAGATAATTTCCATGGTAGAACACGACCTCCCACCACCATCAGTTTTGTTTTCTTTATGTCATAGATATTAGAGATCTCTCTCTATCCAGCCCCTAATATTCAATTCATCCTCTTTTAGCACAGTTATATTTTCCCTTCTGCCATCCCAGCTTTTTTTCAGTTATTCCCCAGGTGGGTTGAATTCCACTCTTCCATTTTAGAGAGAAGTTTCAATAGTTAGTTTATTTTGAAAAGGTGAGGTGCAAGCAACAAATCCAAACGTATTTCCTAAAATAACATTGATATGTTCAAATTTAATAGTAGTGTTTATGAAGCATATTTTGTTTTTGCCAGATTAAAATAAGATGGAGACAAATGTGAAATATGATATTTTAAGAAATTACAGTAAAAATACCACTAACAAATTATACAATACCTTTACCTACTTGAAATGGTGTCAATAGTTGGATATCATATATTCAGGAAAATATTTTTTAAATGATATATCCATAAAATGAAATCACATGAGCTATAAAAATTGAAGAAACTCTTTGTACATTAATGTGAAATGATGTCTACAATATTTTGATAAGTAAAGAAAATACATTATAGGCGAGATATATGTTATTATTTTTGCTGAAAACAACCAAGAAGATAACAATCAACATTTATTTACTTCAGTATGCATAATGATCTTTAGAAGTATGCATAAGAAACCAGTGGAAGTGGTTCCCCGTGCTGAGTGAGAAGGCAACTGGGCAATTAAGGGACATTTAAAATAAAATTTTTGATACATTTTAATGTCAAACTAAGCCAAAGCGAGCGTAATGTCAGTCTACATACGGTGGCAACATAAAGATGTGCTAACTTTGGGGGAAAAAAAGCTGAACTCTGATTTTGCCAACTATAGCATATGTAATATAATGTAATCTTTTTTTATGCTTCAAAATCTTGAATTACTCTGTGATTTTGTACTGAAGATTGATTGCCCTCATAAAAATCTCCAGAAGATATTGGAGAGAATTGTTATTTCTTAGCAAAATCACCATCCTGAATATTCCATTCTATTCAAGTTTCCCTTTCCATCACATCTCACTGAATGAAAATTCCATGAGGTAGGGATGTTTCCCCACTGTGTTCATTGCTGTGTCCTAGCACATAAATTAGTGCCTGATAACTAAGCCATAAGTATTTCTTACAAGAATAGGGATACTTTTGAATAAAGTACTGGCTCCACAAAGATAATAAGCCAATCATTACTTTAGGAAAATTGCTGTGGGATTTTTAAGGTTTGCTTATTAATTACTTATATTTTTTGCTTGATTCATTGCATTTATGAACAATTATTGTGGCTTATATTGAGGAAACAGCCACAATAGTGAATCAAGAAAGATACAATCTAAAAGTCGGGCAACCTTCATAGATTTTCATAGGATAATTTTCTAAATAATTGACAGGTTATCCTCCAAAAATAATTCCTTACGTTCAAGATAGTAACTAAGGTGAAGTGATGGATTATGGAATATTATATAAGATTGTGACACAGAGGGAACTATAAAAATATAATGTCTTTGAAACATCGGTGTTCCTCATATTCTGATCATTCTAGATCTTGAAAACATAGAATATAGGCTCTGATAATATGCTTTAGATTCTTGAAAACGTATGATGCTATCTAATGAACTTAACGTTCATATAAACAAAGAGCATCTTGTAATAACAATTTTCTATTAGTTGTTGCCCATTTATCTTTTCAGGATCCTACAAGTGATATTCCAAGTGTTTGATAGACTCCCTGAAGAGTCATATTAAATCATGATTATCTTCCATTATCACAATGATGAAGATAACCTTGATTATTGGCTGGGAAACTTAGAAGTAATGCATGTGTGCAATTGGCAATAATAGCATATGCTTAATCTCAAGCCACAAGGATTGGTGCTGACAACATAGCTGTGATACCATGGTATATTTAATAGCAATGTTAACTTTATTTATAAAAAATATTCTTGACAATCCATTTCAAATATACCAACATTTTTTCCTCAGTATGTCACAGAACTTCCCCTTATAGATATAAATGATACCAGAGAAAAGTCATTTGACCTTTCCTGAATTGTTGTATTAATTTTAGTAATGAATATACCTAATGCTAAATGATGAGTTAATGGGTGCAGCACACCAGCATGGCACATGTATACATATGTAACTAACCTGCACATTGTGCATGTGTACCCTAAAACTTAAAGTATAATAATAATAAAAGAAAATTAAAAAAAAATTTTAGTAATGACTTGGGGAAAAATATCTGAGCCACTGCTAACTTCTTTGAGCCTTTTCCCTGAGAGCCTGAGTATACTGCAAACTCCTCAGTCATGTTGCATGTTGCAGGCAGCCTCAATGTTGGAATATGAAGGCTTATTTAAATATTGAACCATGGATTTTTAAAAAGCCAACAAGAAAATGGGTAGAGACTGTGGATTCAGAGTTCGTTTAAAAAGTTAATTTTAAACATGAAAAACTATTCACTATAATTCATAAAGAAAAGCAAATTAAATTGCCTATAACGTATTTTTGAGCAGTGAATTGCCAAAGATGAAATATTTAATGATACACAATCATGCTTAGAATGTTGAGGAAAAAAATATGTATACATTATGTACAAAGATTGTACAGGACAAAATAAATTTTGCAGCTTCGATTATAATGATAACTGATCATTAACAATCAAAACAACCATCAATATTTCACTACCTAAAA
Source organism: Homo sapiens (assembly GCF_000001405.40). NCBI lineage: Eukaryota > Metazoa > Chordata > Mammalia > Primates > Hominidae > Homo > Homo sapiens. Next base: position 83,260,603 of record NC_000007.14, on the reverse strand, counting down.
TGAGTATAATATATTCACCCACTGGAATATTTTGCAACTACTAGAAGAATAAGGTAGATTTACATGTGCTAATATGAAAATATCCCCAACGTTTATTAAGAAATGGAAAATTCAGCACAGTGGCTCATGCCTGTAATCCCAGAACTTTGGAAGGCCGAGGTGGGCGGATCACGAGGTCAGGAGATCGAGACAATCCTGGCTAACACGGTGAAACTCCATCTCTATTAAAAAATACAAAAAATTAGCCGGGTGTGGTGGAAAAAAAATACAAAATTCAAAGTTAAAAATGTTAAGTATAGTCTTCTCCCATTTTTGTATACATATATATTATCTATATAAATAGGTATTATCTATATATATACATATGTGTGTATATATGTGTGCATATATATTATATATTATATATTATATATATTATATATATAGCTATATATGTGCATATATATATTATCTATATATCTACATATATACGTATGTGTGTGTGCGTGTATATATATATATACACGCACACACACATACGCACTTAAATGGAAATTGGATATTTTTGGAAGTATTCAAGATATTAACACAATAGCTTTTTCTAGGGAAATGCAGTGAAGTACTGTGATAGCAAAGAGACTACTTTTTCATTGTATATGTATTTTTTTTATTGCAGTTAGAGGTTTTATGCTGGTGCACATAATTTATTTTCTCAATATAAAGTTTATATCATTTAAAGATTCATAATCAATGTATAATGGAGTTTTCTATGTACTTCAGAGCTCACATAAACCTATTTTTAGTGATCTCTCTGTGTCATGAAAAGTGATACAATATTTAAAAATCAAAACATGTCAGATTTTTATGTGATGTTCATGTTCTTTGAGCAATGGTGGTGGTGGGATTAATGTTACAGTAGTAGAAGAATGTGCAGAAGGATGCAGGCCAAGGCATTCAGAAACCAGGGTAGGGAGAACAGGCTCCAGTATCTCAAAAGTGTGTTCTGTGGTTATTAAGTTTTACAAACAATTAATAGACTTTCAAACCCATATATATGTATTTAAGAAATGAGTTAAACCAGTATTTTTTTTCTGGTATTATATTTAAAAGGTTTGTACACCCTGGAGTAATATTATTTCCACCCAGAATGTTCTTTCTTCTTCCAGCCAGATAGTATGAGTGGCTGACTGATTTGATCCAATCCAATCAATAGTTAAGCTGGAACAGATCTGGCTTATGGCTATAGTCGGTTTCACTTGACTTTCTCATTCAAAAGCCAGTAAAGACTACCTGTTTGTGATTATTACAGGCCTCTATTTCCAACAGAAACTGAAGAATTGGAGAAACCTGTTTCTGTTTCTTCTTGCTAGGCAAGCCCCGAAACTCTGTTGCACTTACACTTCTCCAAATTCAGCAAAAATCCCATACAGCAGCATTAGAAGGAGAATGAAGAGATCTAGCTGATCAGCTAGGCCTCATACTTATGTCAAATACCAACACTGCCCACACAGATATTAAAAGCCCCTCTAGTTTCTCTGACATGTTTTGATTTTTTAACATTTAAATATTTTTGTGTTTACCCACTATCAGGTATTCCTTTATAGCAATGCTAATGGATTCATATATATATCCATATATACATATCCATATATCTCCATATATATCTATCCATATATATATATCTCCATATATATATCCATATATATATCTCCATATATATATCCATATATATATCTCCATATATATCTCCATATATATATATCCATATATATATCTCCATATATATATCTCCATATATATATACCCGTATATATATATATATATATATATATATATATATATATACACACTTCTCTAAAGTTCAATGGAATATTATAAAATGAAGAGCCTATCCTAAGATTTTCAGTATTGTTCAATTTATTTTCAAGAATGGAATTAATGCAGTAATAAATATGTAATCTAAAGGCAATCCCTGGAGAGCTCTTCTTGCAGGTGAGATGGACATAATCTAAATAGAAAATGACTCCAGCACAACAGCCAAAACTGTGTGTGTATGTACGTATATATATTTGTAGAGACATACACACACAGAATCATGTGTTTATTAAAAGCACTATAGAGAAAAAAACATAAGAAAAAGGAAATAATTCCAGCTATATATAAGTAGTCTCTGTGCTAGCAGAGCTCTGTTGCCACTGTTCGACTAGTCCCGGCCCAGGTGAGTGAAGACTGGGCCCTTAACAACCCCTCCCCACCCCCGCCACATATACACACATCAGAGTTTACCTGTGGGGATTAACTTTTAACATTGGAAGTTACCTTTCAAATGAGATTTGGAGGGGACATACATCCAAACCATGTCATATATTGTATCATTTCTTAGTGGTATATTTTGACTGTTTCTTCTTTCTAAATAGAAAATTACTGAGGCAGTGCAAAGATAAAACATTATGAACATAACATTAATATATGCTAGTCCTTAATTCACTAAAGTTTATTTCTTATTATTTCATAAAACACTTATCTTTTATGCTGATTTTACTTTAGTTTTAGAAGTTATTATATTTAAAAATCTCTACCTCTAGTATTCTCAAATCTGCACATTTTCCTCTATTTTAGGGACCATTATTTTGTCCTGCTTTCACTTTCAAAATTTACTACTTATTCAGCTCAGTAAAGACATTTCTTTTTTCTCCCTTTTGTTTTTTTTAAATTCCTTCTTTATGAGTCATTTAAATTCATTCTGTATATAAAATGGCAAAAAATTGTTTTTGAAAAGAATGGCTCAAACTTACCAAAGAGATGTTGATTTTTATTCCTTACAAAACTTCAAGAAAATCTTACCAGTTATTCAATGCAAACTATTTCTTGCTCAGTCAGCTTTCTTATTGAATAATTATCTTAATTTCCATAAGTATTTACTAAGATCTCTTTCAGATAAAATAATTCAAATCTACTAAAATAGGAGGGAAAAAATCTCATTTTTAATTTAATGGCTTATGAAATTTTCTTTAACCAAATTAATGATTTCTCTATCCTGTGTCACCTGATAGACTTCCCTTTACTTTCTTTGAATTCACATTTAGAGACATGAGTCCCCTTTCCCTATCAATGAACCTCCATCAAGACCATCACAGGTAATTCAGAAGACCCTAATAATGGTTGAACTGCAAATGGGATATTTAGAAATCTTGAATAGATTCCTCCCAAGAGCTTTTTTAACCCCTAATAAAAATGATAAAATATATTTAGCTATGTATGTTTTCTTTTAATCTTCACAATAACGCTATAGCTCCCATATCACAGATAATATATTACAAATAGTTTTATATTACAGATAAAGAAACTGAGGGTTGATCAATTAAGAAAATTTCCCAAAGCAATAAATAAACAGTTTACCCTCAAACAGCGTGGGTTTGAACTGTGCAGGTCTGCATATATGCAGATTACTTTCCATAAAACTTACACCAAGTGTGTCTCCTCTCCTGCCTCCCCTTCCACGTCCTCCACCTTTTCTGCCTCTGCTACCCATGAGCAAGACCAACCCTTTCTCTTCATCTTCCTCCTTAGCCTACTCAATGTGAAGACAATGAGGTTTAAGACCCTTATGATGACCCATTTCTACTTAGTAGATAATATGCTTTCTCTTCCTTGTGATTTTCTTAATAACATTTTCTTTTCTCAAGCTTACTTTATTGTAATACAGTATATAGTAATTGTAATATGTGTTACAAAGTATGTGTTAATCAACTGTTTATGTTTTTGGAAAGGCTTTCAGGCAACAGTAAGCTATTACTTAAGTTTTTGACTGTGTAGGGGGGGTTCATAGCCTCCCCTATGTCATTCAAGGGTCAACTACATGTGTGTGTGTGTGCATGTGTTTATGTGTGTTAGCATCAGAATCCATTAACAGTCTGACTCCAGAGCTTGCCCTCTCAATTACTGCAATACATTGCTACTTCACACTTGCCTATGTGCTATCTAAAATTCTACTCAGCATACAAAGGATATTGAAAAGGGATGCTTTGTCAATACATAAAAAACAAACAAACAAAAAAGTTCCTTCTCTAGGTATTTCATTTATATAATAACGACCACTGAAGTCTAATTTTTTTTTTTGCAGAGTATGAAAATCTCTCCTTAGGTATACTTTGCTGTTTTCACTTAGAATAAAAAGTGTCTGCCAAATTTTAAATGACACCTTTTTTGCATGTTAAAAATCCTCCTTTTCAGGAATCCTGTTATATATCTCTAGTTCTAGATTCAATAATCTTCATATTAATTACAGAAAAGGGTTGTTAAATAAATGGAATTTAAGACAGAAATTATAACTATATAGTTGGCTAATTGTTGACAGTAAATATGAAATTATAATAAATTAGTGAATTTCTAACTTTTTTAAATATAATGAATTGTGATATTTTCTGTATCATTTAAAAAATCAAATTTAGTCTAGCTTCATGTTTGCATCTCGATGAGCTTGACGGATGTTCGATCTCAGTGGTTTGAGAGTTTGTGTTTGTTTGTGTATTACAGTGGAGATGGCCTTTATCTCCTTAGCGAGATATATACATATATATACGCACACACATATATGTACACATATATACACATATACACACATATGTACTATATATACATATATACACATATGTACTATATATACATACATATATACTCATATACTCATGTATATACACATATATGTGTATACATATGTATATGTGTATGTGTACATATATGTTCATATATGTGTGTATATATGTTTATGTGTATATATGTATGTTATGGGGAAGTTATGACTGACTTAAGCATAGGGGAATTTGTTGGAAGAATATTGGGTTGGCAAAGGCGGTGTTGAGGGAGCAGGCTTTAGATGGACAGGAATTGAAGGAGTCCTGAAAGAAAAGAGGAACGAAACAGCAGCCAGGACATCTGCTATCACTGCTACTGCCATCAGAGTCACTATGATGAATATTCTCCAAACTTTCTTTCCATCCTGGTGTTACTGGCTCAAAATTTGCAATCCCAGGAGAGAGCATCTGGTTGTCATATTTTAGTCTCATGCCAGCCTTCTGGTTAGGCCAAGGTATGAAAAGAAAAGGTATCTTGCGTCTATAATGAGGGCCAGGCACCTGGAATCTTCTTCATGCCAAAATTAGACGACTCAGAGGAAAGATTTCCCCAAAGAGAGATTGGACAAACAAGCGATTACACAAGTTAACTGTAAAAGAGAGAGAACTTTCTATGCTTTAGTACATCATGATTGCCACTGGTGTATCCTAATTACTCAAGTCCACCTATTTCCGTGAAGGCAGGCAATTCAGCTACATCATTACCAAGTTGCAGTGCCTTACCAACTTGGGGTTGCTAAGTGATCTTAGTAGAGCTGGAGTACTTAGGGCTTAGTGTTCAGCCTCTTTTGATCTTGCCACCTCCCAGACGAAAAATAATTGCCAGGAAATTGGGTGAAACTGATCTCTGCTACTTTGCAATGGTGGAAAATTTACTTCCTCTTTCTCAACATGACCCTGCTCAGCCCTAAAAATGCACTCCAATTTCATCCTTCCCCTTCTAGATTACTTAAAGCTGCAATTGTAAAACTTTTTAAAAATTACTTTCAGGCCGGGCGCGGTGGCTCACGCCTGTAATCCCAGCACTTTGGGAGGCCGAGGCGGGTGGATCACGAGGTCAGGAGATCGAGACCATCCTGGCTAACATGGTGAAACCGCGTCTCTACTAAATGTACAAAAAATTAGCCGGGCGCAGTGGCGGGTGCCTGTAGTCCCAGCTACTCGGGAGGCTGAGGCAGGAGAATGGTGTGAACTCGGGAGACGGAGCTTGCAGTGAGCCGAGATCGCACCACTGCACTCCAGCCTGGGCGACAGAGCCAGACTCCGTCTCAAAAAAAAAAAAAAAAAAAAAAATTACTTTCTTAAATTCTATTGAGTATATCAAAGATTTATCATATTAGAAATGAAAGAAGAAACTTTTAGAGTACAAAAGTATGCAAGAGCACTTTCTGTTTATTGTCAACACAATTATATAATTTTAGTTATTAAAAAGAAATTATTATGACCTTGTGGACCCCTACAATGATCTCATGGATCCCCAGGAGTCTCCAGATATGTTTTGAGCATCGGTGACCAAGTCTAAACTTCTCAGTGAGTTTAAGCTTTTATGAAAGATAGAAGATTTCTATGAGAAAGTTATCTTCAAAAGCTTCTTTTTTCAACTCCACACACACAAAAAATCTGGCTACCTCCTGGAATAGAGAAAAAATAAAATAATACAGTAATAATAACAATGTCTTCGAAACATTTACAGTGAAAGAAAATAGAATAAAATATAATATGATATTGCTCATTATATTTACTCTCCAGATAAAACCACTGCCAATGAAAGAAAAAAATGTAACTGCTTTCAATACATAGACTTAGATAAGTAGTGTTTTGCCTTGTGGATAAATTTAGGAATTACCTAAAACATACAGAGCCATAACTTTTCCTGCATTGATATATTCCTTCATTCCATTTAATTACTAATGAATTGTGAACCAAAACATAATGAAGAACACTTTTTAGATTTGATTTTTTTTTTTTTTTTTTTGAGACGGAGTCTCGCTCTGTCGTCCAGGCTGGAGTGCAGTGGCGCTGTCTCAGCTCACTTCAAGCTCTGCCTCCTGGGTTCATGCCATTCTCCTGCCTCAACCTCCCGAGTAGCTGGGATACAGGCGACCGCCACCACGCCCGGCTAATTTTTTTGTATTTTTAGTACAGATGGGGTTTAGCCGTGTTTGGCAGGATGGTCTCGAACTCCTGACCTTGTGATCCGCCCGCCTCGGACTCCCAATAGATTTGATGTTTTATACATATGAATCAATTACTTCCAGCAAAGCTTTACGGAAATAACAATGTTTCTTTAATTTTCATTTTAAGAATTGATGTGCATGCACAGGTCAGTTGCTCTGAATAACACTGTTTTTTTGCCCTGATGTTTGACTTGGGAAATATATATCCATATAGAGTCTGATTATTATTATTACAAGCCAGTAGTAAACTTTGCCAAAGGCTACAAGATGGTTCACATATATCTGGAGGAGAATACTTAAATACATATAAGAATCACTTGTAGGTTTTCTGATTAAACAGAATTTACCTAATAAATTGCCACAGAATTGTAGATTCAGAATAAAAGGAGGTAAATAATTGAGAAAACTTCTTTCGAAGACTTTTGTTTTTAAGAATGAATTTTAATCAGAAATAATAAAAAGTAGTTACTTCTTGGAGGATTTATTTTTCGATCATCTTATTTCTCTCATAAGAGAGCTTCCAATAAATTTTTTCCATGGAGTATATTTCACACACACACTCAGAGGAGTGTAATTTCTTGAACATTCATAGTCTATTTTCCATTAGGACTCTGTTTTTGAAAAGCTGCAGAGAGTGTAGTTTCATGTCTATAATCTCATTGTTTTGATGTATTAAAGGTTTTCTTAATTCTTTTGAGAAACCATTTATAAGCTTTTTAAAAAGGTAGTGAGGCTGTGCTTTTATGTCTGAAATTTAACAACAGATGATTTATTAACCATGAAGTGAGGTCAAGTTGACTGCTAGATTCTCTGGGGGCAAAAAAGACAAAACAACAGCAAAAGCAAAAACATCAACAAAAGCCCCATAAAATATTACCAAAGCAGTATTAGACTTTTTGCAGTGTTGTTTAGCCTTTATTTTTCTTTTGTGACATTAATAGATAAGTATTGTGGTGAAAAAACTTAAAACAAATATGAAATTTAAAAAAATCTGTTTATAAAAAATGGATTTGCAAATATGCATCTCACTATTTTTTATATTTTATTTTATTTTATTTTATTCATTTATTTTGAGACGGAGCCTTGCTCTGTCACCCAGGCTGGAGTGCAACGGCACGATCTCCGCTCATCGCAACCTCTGCCTTCTGGGTTCAAGTGAGTCTCCTGCCTCAGCCTCCCAAGTAGCTGGGATTATAGGTGCGCACCACCACACCCAGCTAATTTTTTGTATTTTTAGTAGAGATGGGTTTTCACCATGTTGGCCAGGCTGGTCCCGAACTCCTGACCTCGTGATCCTCCCGCCTTGGCCTCTCAAAGTGCTGGGATTACAAGCGTAAGCCACGGCACCCAGCCCACATTCCACTATTTTTTAATGAAAAATACAATGCTGCATATAACCAATGGTTACTTGGTGTCTTCTGTATGTACATTATAAAGGACTGTGTGACATTTTTAGTTGGTAAAAACAGAAACAGGTGAGTTAACAACTTTTTTTTGACAGAGTCTCACCCAGGCCAGAGTGCAGTGGCATGATCTTGGCTCACTGCAACCTTCGCCTCCCGGGTTCAAGCGGTTCTACTGCCTCAGCCTCCCGAGTAGCTGGGACTACAGGCGCGTGCCACCACACCCAGCTAATTTTTGTATTTTTAGCAGAGACGGGGTTTCACCATATTTGCCTCAAACTCTTGACCTTGTGATCCGCCCACCTCGGCCTCCCGAAGTGTTGGGATTACAGGCGTGAGCCACTGCACCTGGCCTAAGTATTTAAATTGTCAATTTACCTATTTCATGTGTCTTTCTCACTATCTATCTCTATATATTGCACGTCTTTCTCCCTATCAAGATACATACATATACATGTGTATGGATGGCTAGATATATATGTATGTATCCATCTATCCATACATACATATGTGTATGTAGATATATATGTATATAACCATCTATCCATACATATGTGTATATGTATGTATCTTGATAGTGAGAAGGATGTGTTCAATAGGTATATTATACATATATAAACATATGTATATATATACATACATAGATGTATCTTGATAGTGAGAAAAACATGGGTATCTACATAAGCTTTTGAATTTAGTGCTCTTTCACCAGCCACCAATTTATATTCTCTAGATAGCTTCTGTAGGTACTTTCTTAGTTTGGTGTAGATTTTGTTTCAATTAACAAATAATTCTTAATGGTCTGTTTTACACCAACACTATTCTCAGGGGACAAAGACTTAAGCAAAGGAGTGTACTCAAGTGAATCAAAAACCTATATCTACAAACAAACTTGCACACAGATATTTATAAAAGCTTTATTCATAATTGCCAAAACTTGCAACCAAGATGTCCTTCTGTATGTGATTATATTAGTAAACTGTGGCACATCCAGACAATGGAGTATTATCTAGCACTAAAATGAACTATTAAGCCATGAAAAAACATGGAGGAAACTTAAATGTATATTTCTAAGTGACAGAAGCCAGTCTGAGAAGGCTACATACTGTACAATTCCCCAACTCTATGACACTCTGGAAAAGACAAAACTGTAGAGATAATAAATCAAGGATTGCCAGGGGTTAGGGGGAAGGGGAATAAATAGGTGGAATACCGAGAATTTTTAAGGTAGTGAAAGTTCTCTGTATGATACTATGAGGGTGTATACATTTCATTTTCCATTTGTCAAAACCCATAGAGTGCACAACACTGAGTGAACCCAAATGTAAACTATAGACTTTAGAGGATAATGATGCGTCAGTATAGGTTTATCAAGCGTAACAAATATATTTCTCTGGTTGGTGATATTGATAAGGTGAGAGGCTATGTATGTGTGGGTATATGGGGAATTGCTGTATCTTTGGCTCAATTTTGCTCTGAACCTGAAACTGCTCTAAAAAAGTGCATTAAAGGGAATGGTAGTGGGTGGGGATGGGGGAGGGAGGAATCATTCATGGGTACAAAAATATAATTAGATAATAAGATCTAGTATTTGATAGCACAACGGGGTGACTGCGGTCAATGATATTTTATTGTACATCTTAAAATAACAAAAAGACGGCTGGGCATAGTGGCTTACACCTATACTCCCAGTACTTTGGGAGGTCAAGGTGAGAGGATCACGTGAGGTCAAGAGTTTGAGATCAGCCTGGTCAACAGAGTGAGACCCTGTCTCTGCAAAAAAGAAAAATGAGCTGGACGAGGTGGCTCACAGTAGTTCCAGCTACTTTGGGGGGCTGAGGTGGGAGAGTCACTTAAGCCCAAGAGTCTGAGGTTGCAGTGATGTAGGATCATGTCATTGCATTCCAGCATAGGCAACAAAGTGAGACCCTTCAAAAAAAAAAACACTAAAAAACTAACAGGATATAATTGGATTGTTTGTAACTCAAAGAAAGGATAAATGCTTGAGGTAATGGATGACCCATTTACTTTGATGTGGTTATTGCACATTGTATGGCTGTAGCAAAATATCTTATGTACCCCATAAATATAAAAACAGTTATTGAGGAGCTCAAAGAACTTTGGTTTATGTAAATTATATTATTGATATTTACCATATTACAAATTGAAAAATAGGATTTAAAACATACTTATTAATTTGTTTTCATGTTTTGGTGAAAAAATGTTTTCCAAAACAAAACAAAAAAAATTATATGAGAACTGAATGCTGCTTCTGCATTCCACATGTCATAATATGTTGTATATTTGTAGTATAAGAAACGAAGTCCAGCCTCATACTGATACGAATTTAGAAAAGAGAGAGCCTCACAAACTCAAGAAGGCTTGAGGACCTCAAGGATCTTTAGACCATGATTTGAGAAGCAGTATTCTAATTCTATCTATTTTTCCCACTAAAGGAAGCATGTATAAATATAAACAAATGAGAATAGCAGTTTTAAAATCAAATTTTTAATTTTTTAAGCACATGCTTTGTAATATTCCATGACTTCTGATACACCTTACAGCTGATCATGCCCCACCTGGATTTCACAATGCTTACACAGACCTTTGCTGTTATAGAGGGTCTACATTTAAATCCTTTCTGTGGGTTGAGTTCAGAGGGTCTCATTTGCCTTTTTACTTTATTTCTCTAAAGCTCCCTATGTTGTGAAAAAAAGCAAAAGATAGTTATAAAAGTAAGACTCTATACTAATGATGTTTAAATAGTGTCCTTTCTTACTTTCAACATCTCTCAAGTTATTTAGTCCTTGAACTCAGATGCTGCTAGAGTAAAGTGGAATGCCAAATTAAGATCATATCCTTTTATATAATCTCCAGTGGAGTTCTTGCCTCAAAAAAATTATGTTGTTTTTTTTGTTTTGTTTTGTTTTGTTTTGTTTTGTTTTGTTTTGTTTTGTTTTTTCACTTTCTAATCCCTTTCATGAACTGTGTGCTTCTTCCCTTTCTCTAGTCCTCAGTACTCAGGGCTCACAAAGCTGTCCAAACACGTAACTGCACCAAAGCCCATGGGCCTGGCTTTTCTTGAAGCCTGGATTTAGGCTCTGAATATCTGGCTTGCTGTGACCCTACAAAGGGACTATATAGATATTCCTGCTTTTATTACTAAGTACAGAGGTGCTGATATTTTTCTAGATAACAAATTGCAAATTTTATAAATTATAGAATGTGTATTGCTTCAATTCTCCCTTCAAATTCCTAGACTTACCCTTACCACCTTTACTAACAATATCCATTTTTGTCTTACTAAAATGAGAGCCCTTTGCCAGGAGTTACAACTATGCTTTTATCCATCCTGAAATCATTCTGCACGTTCAACTTCTATCATTCTGTCTCATATCTCAGGAACTCTTCCTTTGATTCTGTTACCCACTCGTGCTCCCCCATCACATACCTCTCCATTTGTTCATTTAGCATGTATTGATGAATCAAGAAAGTATTTTAAGCATTTTGTTAGATTCACAAATGGACATGATTTCAAAGAGCTACGTTTGCCATTAGAGATAAAAGTGACAAGGTACACCGTGAATTAAGAAGATGGAGTGGTTACTCAAAATGGGTATGGGAGGAAAGGAATAAATAGCATATTGTGGAATATGTAGCATTTCATAGACTCTTGCTAGATAGATAAAACTTGAACAGGCCAGGCATGGTGACTCATGTCTGTAATCTCAGCACTTTAGGAGGTTGAGGTTGGTGGATCACCTGAGGTCACGAGTTCGATACCAGCCTGACCAACATGGTGAAACCCTGTCTCTACTAAAAATACAAAAAATTAGCCAGGCATAGTTGCAGGTGCCTGTAATCCCAGTTACTCAGGAGGCTGAGGCAGGAGAATTGCTTGAACTGGGGAGGCGGAGGTTGCAGTGAGCCAAGATTGAGCCATTGCACTCTAACCTGGGTAGCAAGAGCAAAACTCTCTCTCAAAAAACAAACAAGCAAACAAACAAAACTTGAACATAATGAGATGGGGCAAGTGATGGGTGTAAGCTTGTTAGGGCAGCCACAACAAAATAATGCACATGGCATTAACAGCAAAATTGACGGGTTTTTTTACATTTTTGGAGGCTAGAAGTCCAAGATCAAAGTGTTGGCAGGTGTGATTTCTTCTGAGGTCTCTCCTGACTTGCAGATGGCTGCCGTCTTGCTGAGTCATCATGTGGCTGCATTTTAACTTAATCACTTTTTAAAGACCTTTTCTCTAAATACAGTTACACAGTGAAGTACTGGAGGTTGGGACTTTGACGTATGCATTTTGGGAGAACACAATTCAATTCATTACAGGGAGATTAGGGTATTCCAAACATAAGGGGCAAATGAGTAAAACAGAAGGAAAGGAGAGCAAATCAATGGAGAATAGATATTTCCCCCGTTCACATATAAACAAATATATCTTCTAGAAAGCTGTACATTCTAATACATATTTTTTGATATTGATAATAACCATGAATCTGAATGATGTGGAAGGGTTATCAATATCAATAAAATTTGAAGTTATTTTTAAATTATTAAAATAAATATATTTTAGAATGGTCTGATATTTATATTCATATGATTAACTTAGAATAAAGCTTTAAAATGCTTAAATATATTTATTGGGTTTTCAATACTAGCTGTATTTTATTCTATCTTGTTTGAGTTTCCATCACCTCAACCAACATCAGAGGATGTCTATGATTAACGAATGAATGAAAAGCAATTATCAGGCAAAGATACAAAGTATAATATTTAATTGTAACTTAATTTCTTATCCAAAGTAAACGACAGTTGGTTCCCAACTTATAATGTTTTGACTTATGATTTTGCAGCTTTACAATGGGTTTATCAGGATATAACTCCATTATAAGTGAGATCATCTGTATATATCAAGCATGATAATACCCATGTCATCTTTCATTAAAATGTAATATTAAATATTTTATAAATTTTGTAATATAAAACAATACAATATAAAAATAATTAGAAAAAAGATGCAATAAATATCTTTTAAATTCATTAGGTATAGATAAGATTTCTGAAAGAATAGACTTCTAAATTATATGCATATGTAATAAATGTATCTTACATGTTTATATGTACATATAGTTAAGTATATATGTACCTTAAAATTACACATAAACTTACATATTTGATTGCCTACCTATGTTAACAATTTGAAGTGAATATGAACTTCTATAGTTTGAATTCCTAAATAATGAATAGGTTTGCATTATATTTATTTTTTTAAAAAATATTGTAAAATATGTGTTCCCATTAGAGACTAAAGGATTTGAAGAGACTCAAACCACAGTCTCTCATGTTTCTTCAGCTTGATTTGGGAAATGTTTAATAGGAAATGAAAAAGATGATTGAATTAATAATGTAGGTGATTTCTGCCAATTGTAGTACAAATATACTTAAGTACCTATTTAAGCTTCTCTGAAAGGCTATGATATTCAAACATCTTTGAGTCATAACTGGCCAGGAATCGTTTGGAAATATTAATTTGTAAGCAAGTCAGATAACATTCTGTATGACTTCTGAAATCAGTATTGTGGATATATATCAAATAGAAATATTAATGGAGAAGAGAATTCTGGGAAGGTAGCAGAATAAAAAGCACCAAGAATCTGTCTCATCATCTAAATAGCAATTGCACTGTCAGAGTCTAGCTGATGTAACTTTTTTTGTGAATTCTGGTGTCTATTGAAGACTTTCAACTTTCAAAGGTAAATTTAGACTTCAAATTGTGATTAATTTCAGTCAATTAGAGTTCTAGCACAGTAGCAGTTGCTTACCACCCAACCTCAGCCCCACAGTGTGCATCTGTGCATGTGTTATGGAAGCCAGAGTGGGAAAAGCAAAACAAAACAAAAACAAAAACTGTGTTCCAAATATTAGTGATCTGTGCTCTTATCATTCGTTGCTGTTTCTAATCACACAAGTTTAGACAAAGAGATGGTTAGTCATTGTTGTAGCATTCACCCCCATTTCTGAAAGCCTATCCCCTGCTGATTGAAGTGACTTCCAACAGATTTAGATGGCTGCTGGCATACTTTTCTTCTCTACTCTTTATTTTTCCTGTTTTCCTCTTTTGGGAGCCAGATATTAAAGACTAGAATATTCAAAAACAATTGCATACACAGAGAAATATAGAAAGTGATGTCTCAAGCCCAGGGAAATGCACAGGTTCAGAAAAGAACTAAGAAGACCTTAGGTTTGTACCTCTGGTTGATCTTTGCCACAAAGACAACCTACAACAATAAAGAAAGAAACAAAAATAACAAAACTCAGGAAAACCAGGGGAAGAGGGAGAATCTGATTTCCAAAGTTATCACATTACTAGATTCAAGCATTCAGTTTTCAACAACAACAACAATAAAACGTATAAGGCATACAAAGAAGTAGGAAAGTATGGCCCATTCAAAGGGGAAAAAAAATGAATCGTTCAAAACTATCCCTGAAACAAAAAGCTGTTGGCAGATCTATTAGACAACAACTTTAATATAAATAACTTAAAGATACTGAAAGAACTAAAGTAAGTTGTGGAGAAAGTAAAAAAAATTATGTGTGAACAAAATAAAATATCAATAAAGAGAAAACCTAAAAAAAATCTGGAGATGAAAAATACAATAACAGATGAAATGAAAAATGTACAAGAGGACTTTTTAGGCCAGGCATGGTGGCCCACACCTGTAATCCCAGCACTTTGGGATGCTGAGGCAGGTGGATCCCCTGAGGTCGGGAGTTCGAGACCAGCCTGGCCAACATGGTGAAACCCTGTCTCTTCTAAAAATACACAAAATTAGCCAGGTGTGGTGGTGCTACTCAGGAGGATGCGGCATGAGAATCGCTTGAACCTGGGAGGCAAAGGCTTCAGTGAGCTGAGATCACACCACTGCACTCCAGCCTGGGTGACAGAGGGAGACTCTGTCTCCAAAAATAAAAAAGAGGGATTTAAAGGCAGATTTAAGCAAGCAGAAGGCAAAAATCATCAAACTTGAAGATAGAACAATGGAAATTATTAAGTCTGAGGAACAGAGTTAAAAAAAAGAATAAAGAAAAGTAAACAGAGCCTACAGGACCTTTGGGACACTATCAAGCGAACCAATAACATAGAAGGAGAAGAAAGAGATCAAAAAGCAGAGAGAATATTTAAAGAAAGGAGTGAAAATTAGCTGAATTTGATGAAAGATATGAATATAAACCTTCAAGAAGCTTAAGGAACTCTAAATAAGACGAACTCAAAGATACCCTCTCCGAGACTCATTATCATCAATCTTTTGAACACCTAAGACAAAATGTTGCAAGCAGCAAATGATAAGGGCCTCATCACACACAAGGGACATTCAGTAAGATTATCAGCAGATTTCCCATCAGAAACTGATGAGGGCAAACAATTATTGTTTGTCTAAAAGAAAGTATTATTGCAACTTAGTTCATAACACTATATTTTGTTTTCTATATGATTTGAGATTAATACTTTTAAAAAATTATTAGTTTATGGTTTGGGGTACACAATGTATAAAAATGTAATTTTGTGACAAAAATACCCAAAGATCTAGACCTGATGGCTTCACTGTTGAATTATATCAAACATTTAAAGAAGAATTAATACCAATTCTTCTCAAACTTTTCCCAAAAACTTGGGGAAGAAAGAACTCTTCCAAGTTCATTTTGTGAGGCCAACATTATCTTGATAACATAGTAAAAGATACAAAAAAGGAAAACTCCAGGCCAGTGTTTCTTATGAACTTTGATGCAGAAATCCTCAACAAAGTATTAGTAAATTGGATTCAGCAGCATACTAAAAGGATTATATACCATGACCAAGTGGGATTAATTCATGGAATGCAAGAATGATTTAACATATAAAAATCAATGAATGTAGTATACCACATTAAGAGAACGAAGGGAAAAAAATCCCACATGGTCATCTCAGTTGACATAGAAAAAACATTTGTCAAAATTCAACACTTTTTCACAACAAAAACATTAAGTAACATAGAAATAAAAGGAATCTACTTTAACATAATAAAAGCTATATATAAGCAACACACAAAAAATGTTGACAGTGAAAGACTAAAAGCTTTTCTGCTGTATTGGGACCAAAGCAACGGTGCATGCTTTTATCTCTTATTTTCAATATAGTACTGGAAGTTCTAACCAGAGCAACTAGGCAAGAAAAAGAAATAAAAGACATATAGAAGAGAAAAAAGAA
Source organism: Homo sapiens (assembly GCF_000001405.40). NCBI lineage: Eukaryota > Metazoa > Chordata > Mammalia > Primates > Hominidae > Homo > Homo sapiens. The sequence goes on along the minus strand of NC_000007.14, from coordinate 83,244,153 downwards.
AAATGATCTCTATTCTTACATGTAGAATACCCTAAAGATTCTATGAAAAAAAAAAGCTATTGGAACTAATAAATGAATTCACCTAAGTAGTAGGATACAAAATCAACACAGGAAAATCAATTGTGTTTCTACACATTAACAATAACCAATCTGAAAAAGAAATGATAAAAATAATTCTATTTATAATAGTATTAAAAGGAATAAAATACTTTGGAATTAACAAAGGATGTGAAAGATTTGTAAATTGAAAACTACAAAACGTTACTGAAAAAAATTAAAGAACTTATAAATAAATGGAAACACATCTCATGTTCATGGATTAAAAGACTTCATATTGTTACAATGCAAATATGACTCAAAGAAATCTATACATTTAATGCATCTCTATAAAAATATCAAATTCTAAATATGCTTTTTGCAGCTATAGAAAAATCTATCTTAAAATTTATATGGAATCTCAATGGACCCTGAATATCTGAAATAATCTTGAAAAAGCACAGGCTGAAGAATGCACACGTCTTGATTTTGAAAACTTACCGCAAAGTTACGGTAATCAAACTGTGTGATAAGTGCATAAAGATAGACATATATACCAACGGAATACAATAGAGAGCCCAGAAAGAAACCCTCACATCTGTTTTCAAATGATTTTTGCAAGGGTGTCAAGACCATTCAGTGGGAAAGGAGAGTCAGTCTTTTCAACAAACGATACTAGTAAAATTGGATATGCACATGCGAAAGAATAAAGTTGAACCCTTACCTAATACCATATGCAAAAAATTACCTCAAAATGCATCGAAGATCTAAATGTAAGACATAAAACTATATAACTCTTAGAAGATAACATAAGGCAAAACCTTTATGACACTGGATATGGCAATGGTTTATTGGATCATCTAACACTAAACGCATAGACAACCAAAGAAAAAATAGACAAATTGGATTTTCGTAAAAATACAGTGTGCAAGACAAATCTGTACACCTTAAGTATATACAATAAAATGTACTTTTTTAGAAAGACAACAGCAACAGAGTAAAACGACAACCCACATAATGTGATAGAACATTTCTAAATCATATATCTGCTAAGAGATTGCTATCCTGAATATATAGATAGAAAACATAAACTCAACAACAAAAAATATGTTTCAAAATGGGCAAAAAAGTTGAATAGAAATTTCTCCTCCAAATAAGGCATACAAATTGCAAATAAGTACACGGAAATATGCTCAGCATCACTAATCATTAGTAAGTTCAAGTGAAAACAACAATAAAACATCACCTCACACCCATTAGGATGGTAACTATAAAAAAAGATAATAAGTTTTCCAGAGGAAGTGGAGATATTAGAACACTTGTGTAAAATGTGAAATAGTAGAGCCATTGTAAAAAGCAGTATAGAAGTTCTTTAAAACATTGAAAATAACATTACCATATGATCCAGTAATTCACTTCCAGATTTATACCTAAAGGAATTTTAAAATAGGGTCTTGAAAAGATATTTATACACCATGTTCACAGCAGCATTATTCACAGTAGCTAAAATATGGAGCCAACCAAAGTATCCTTTGGTGTAAATGGATAGACAAAATGTGATATACACCTCTAATGGAATATTATTCAGCATTAAAAAGGAAGGAAATTATGACATAAATGAATCTTAAAGATATTATGCTAGGTAAAATAAGCTAGTCACACACCAAAAAAAAAAAAATGCTGCATGATTCCATTTATGAAGTAGGTAGTGTAGTCAAAATCATAGAGACAGAAAATAGAATTCTGGTTGCCAGGGTCTAGAGGGAGAAAGTAATGACAATTTATTGCTATTGGGTAAGAGTTTCAGTTATACAAGATGAAAAGATATGGATGGTGATGATGAATGCGCAATATTATGAATGTATTTACTACTACTAACCTATAACTTTAAAAAGACTAAGATGGCAAATGTTATGTAATGTGTATTTTTCCACAATTAAAAAAAATGAAAAAACAAAAAAATTAGTAAAGCTCATATAAAATATATACCTACCTATAAGCCTTCAGTAGATTGTAACTCTTGCTTTAAAACTTGTGCATTTTTTTCTTGCTTCCTCTCTATTTTGTAAGTCTAATGGCTCTAGTTAAATATTCACCTTCTTAAATAATAAGATTAATTGTAGAGCATATTATAACGGGTTTAACATGTTTAAATTCATCTCATATCCTTCAGTGAGTCATGAGAAAAGTTAGTAAAAGATAATGAACATGCATTTCAAATAATTAAATAAGATACTCTATTTTTCTCCTCTCACCATCCCCACACTCTCATCCTCATTTTGGACTCTTTTTCCATTAGGCTTCCACTTTGTGTCCTTTATGTAGTAAGGAGTTAAAGATGGCTGAGAAGGCAGTCACATCTATAATTCAAGGCATGTCCTGTATCATTCTTTTAGTTTTTAAAAAAATGCTGAATTTTTATTTTAGGATTTTTTATTTATTGGGTAACAAACTTAAAAGATATTATTCTTTTGGAATTGAATTCAGAGGAAGATTAAGTCAAACCTAGAAAATTGCTGTTTCAGCCTAGTACTTAGGGGATTAAAAACAAACAAACAAAATCTCCAATACTCACTTATTTGAGCAGCTTCCTGCTATGAGCATGCCTAGCTTCCTACTTCTACATCTCTCTTTACTACAATCTTGCTATGTGTACGGAGTCATGGTAACTATGATTTTTGCTCTCTAGCATACTCTTCTTTTTCCTTTTTATGATAACAAAATGTATATTTGGAAATGGTGGATAACCACTTCCTGCAATTTGAATGTGATAGACATAGAACAGTCACATAATGGAATTGCCTGGCCTTGGTTGCCACAGTTGCTAGTTCAGGGATTGGTACATAATGCAGATAATAACAAAGAAATTCACAAAAAAGGAAACTGAGATGGACTATTGAAATATTAAAAGTGAGTGTATGTGATGGAAACTGTGTAATTTGTTCAGTTTTCAAAATGTTCTAAACGTTTCTAAAATGTTTGTAACCTGACAATAAACAGGCATACTTAACAAGTGAAATGTTGTCAGGGACTGGATATTCATGGAAGACGAGAGATAAAAGGATAGAAGTAACTATATTGCTTGTGAAGAAAAGAAGGCATTAGAATAGGGGACATTCAAAGGAGTAAATATTTTCTTAGCAAATTACGTAAGTGTTTTGTATATGTATTAAGGTTTTTCAGTAAATCTTTCAGGGAAACATGAAAGATGAGGATAGATAGCAAATGCCAAGTAACCATGGATCCCGAAAAACAGAAAATTGATGGAAAGAGCTCTCCACAGTAAAGCATCCAACAAGTTTAAAGCAGGATGAGTATGCTCTATTGATGATGAGTTGCTAAGGGAAAGACTCCATATCTTAATTCATGATAAGTGAGATGATAAACACACAGACAATTTGAAATAGGCATCATATGGTGAAAAGAGCATTTAAAAATAATTATACATTCATACATATATGTACATATACCAATACCTAAATTATTATTAAATACAGATTTTTATTAATTGAGCTTATCTCTATATTATGCCAAGAAAGTTTTCAGGGCAATGTAATATATTATAATTTATGATTATTAGATTAAGATATTGGAAGAAGATATTAACATGAGTTGGACTGTGAGGGTTAATTTTAGTAGGATTGAAATTAGCCTGATATGTTTTACTGAAATAAGAATGTACTGAGCACTGAACTATGGTCAAAGCATAAATCATACTGATTATGAGTGTTGCTTTGTAATCATGCGTCTGAGAAGTTTGGGGACAGTCCATATCAGCTTGTCAGGATTAAAGACTTGCAACTTGTCTCAGTGAGATCTTTTAAGGGCTCTGTGATTGGAGCTGATCACATAGCAAGAATATGCCAGTAGGATTAGCAGGGAATGTGTAACCCTGGTTGAAGCTCCATTTACACTCCCTGATTTCTGAGGTTTCCGTATATTTGCCAGTGGTTCCTGACTTCAGAGAGAAAGTTCATCTAGCATGACCTTTACAAATGGAAGTCAGGTGGAACTTGCACCTGTGGATTGGAACTTGGCCTTTCTAGATTAATTGCTGTGAGGCAGCCATTGGTTATCAATCATATCCTTGCTTTAATGCTGCTGCTGAATGATATACATTTCCAGTAGTAAATTATAATTTTGTAAGTATTGCATGTTGAGTATTGTGAGTCTTATTTAGCAATTGAATACTGTCCAGTTAGTAAAGATGGTGTCAAAGTGGGATTTATTAAAAGATCATTTACTCACTGTTAACCAATAATATGATTAAACTATTATTCAGAAATAAAAAATGATTCTTTAAATGTGTTAAAATGAACCATTGATGTTGCGTAGTTGCCTAATACAAGTTTGGAATCAGTATTGATAATAATACTTTCCATGGAATGTAAAAATGGTAGAATCTGAACATCAGGAGCTATGAAAATGGATTAAGAGGAACTTCAAGCTGATAGCAGATTAGCTAAAAATTTAGTTCATTAGGTACTGCTTTCAGGACTAGCCAAAGAAAATCTTTCAGTTGAGCTTTGACCTCAGGCAAGAGGAGCTCCAACCATAGAAACTTGGGCAACTACAACATTTGATAAATTGGCTACACCTATGAGACCAGTTACAATTAAAATAGTAGTTAAAATTGGGCAAGTTGATAATAAAAGGAAAAAAGTCATGAAAGTAAAAAGTAGTATACTGAAGAAATCAAGTAACTGCAGATCATTAGAAGAAATTCTCTGATGAGCCCTTGTTAAAATGACTCTTGAAAACTTTAGATCAAAGAGCTTTGTCTATGGCATTGAACAACTCAGATTAGAGAAGAATGTTTGAGCTCACATGCATACTCAAGTGGCTGCTCTCTTTATGGTGATGATTTGGATACAAGCAATATTGGAGTGTCTGTATGACAACAAAAGCAACCTCACTGATGATATTCCACTTACCTATGTAGTAACTGCTACTGTATTAAAAGAAAACCTGCCAGCATGGGCAGTCTGTATGACTTTGTTGTTGGATCCTCAGGAGTATATAAAGAGGTAGTTTCAGAACTTTTATCCCAGCTATCTCACATAAAACCTCGATATGGTTTGGCTATGTCCCCACCCAAATCTCATCTTGAATTTCCACCTGTTGTGTGAGGGGTCCGGTGGGAAGTAACTGAATCATGGGGCAGGTCTTTATGGTAGGACCATAAGCCTCATGAGATCTGATGGTTTTAAGAAGGAGTTTCCCTGCACAAGTTCTCTACTCTTTTCTGCTGCCATGTGAGACATGCCTTTCACCTTCTGCATGATTGTGAGCCCTCCCTAGCCACATGGAATTGTAAGTCCAATAAACCTCTTTGTTTTGTAAATTGCCCAATCTCGGGTATGTCTTTATCAGTAGTGTGAAAATGCACCAATACATACCTGAATGTTAGGGCTTTATAAACAGAAAAAAAAATAAGAATGGGGACAACAATTCAGGCAATAAGTGTAGAAGTTTGGAAATGGCTCATTCAAATGGCATGAAAAAAAAAGAAATTGATGGAGTACCCAGCAAAGCCTTGATAGAATTTTATAGAAGCTGAAGGTGCCCCCAACTGCCTCTCTATAAACTTTCCAGGATGTGAAGATTCCAGGGTACCTAGATGATTGATTTATTTGAGCTCAGAAGAAGTTCAAAGGAAAGGTTCAGCTGAACCTCTAGCATTAGATGTGAAAATACTATGTTTAAATATTAATGTGGTGATATAGGAAGAAGATTGACATGATTGACATGAAAGTCAGTCTCTTGACTCAGTCCCTGTTGGGACACTTGAGGCCTTTTACAAAGCTTGGGTGAAATGCCTGTGGATAGAGAAGAAATTCTTTTTGGTCTACTACTCTGTAAAGAGCAAAAAAAAAGAAAATCTGAATAAAGGTTGAAATTATGATTTAAAAAGTATACTGTGGTAGCATCTCTTTTATGTCAATAAATAATTGGATATAATAATGAAAAGGTATAGATATAGTGTGAGAATAAAAAAATAACTTGTAGATTTTCCCTCTATCCAGCATTAGTTGGAAATGCAACATGAGTGCCTTTACAGTTCCTAAGCAATATGAGTGATATATTTGAAGCAACTCAGAATATGTGGAAGGCAACAATAAATTGCCAGAATAATTAAGGCAGTGTGGAATTCAAGTGTGTCAATGCCTACAAACTTGCTATACAATAGACCAGCACAGCCAGTGAAGCAGGTTGGTGTATGATGGAGAATGACACTTGACTATGGAAGATTAAAAGAACAGTGTTCTCAGTAGCTTTAGTAGTCCTTGATATGGTGCTATTTCACTAACACAAGGTAAAGGTAACTAGTATTCTGTAGTTGAATTTGGCAGATGGGTTATTCTTAATATGTCAGCAAAGAGAGCCAACAACATTTTCAATCATGTTAAACAGTTATCAATATGCATTTATTGTACTAACAACCTCAAGAGCATTTGAACTTTCCTATAAAGTATGACAATCTGGTAAGGCAGGGCTTAGATGCAATGCAAATTGACTTTGTTCTACTATAATATGTTGATGATAATATAATTATTTCTGAAACTGAGGATCAAACTAACAACGACCATACTAAAGTCATAAATCATGTGGCTGACTGGGGATCATTCTTTAATCCTACTAAAACTCAAGACACTGCACAGCCTATGGAGTTTTGCGTAATTACATAGGCTGGAGCAATATATGACATACCATATAGCCTTGGCCTAAATTGTTATTGCTCCTCACCCCTCAGACTAAAAGGAAGGCTCAATGCTTAGTTAATCTATTTGGCTTTTGGTGAAATCATGTATCTTATTAAGCATTCTGCTAGCCCCCATCTAGAAAGTTTCCTCAAAAGAAAAACACATGTATGTATAATTTGATTGGGCACCCAACAGCCAGACCTTTCTTAAACCACAAGAAGCTGCAGTTCAAGCCATTCTATTAAGGCTATATGATCATAATGCTAGAATTATATTTAAAGTGTCAGCCACAGATTCATGCTATTTAGAATATCTGGCAAAAGCTAATAATCACTGCTCAACAGCAATCTCTGGGCTTCTGGACTGGAAAATTATTGTATACAGCATTCAAATACATCCCATTTGAAAGAAGGAAAGAAAAAGAACAAGAGTTCAAACTGGGCATGTTGAGGCTGAAGTAACAGAACATTCTAGAAGTAGTTATTGTGCACTGAGACAGCCCCAGTAACTGAAGTATGTGATATTACATTAAGACCTGAAATACCCACCATATCATGAATGATGCCAGAAAAGCACTCCAACAAGGCAATCAAAGAAGTTTTATCATAATATGAAGATATACACAGGAGCAGGAAACAATGGTTGGGATGCATCATAGAAAGTTGCACCGGCTACCTCAGGCTGCCATAACAAAATATTATAGAGTTCCATAAACAACTAAAATTTATTTTTGTACACTCAAGGACTCTGAAAGGCCAAGATCATGGTGTCAGCATGGTCAAGTTCTGGTGAGAACCCTTTTCTTGTCTTGTAGACAATTGCTTTCTCACTGTGTCCTGACATAATGCAGAGAGAGAGAGAGAGAGCATTCTCTATCTCTTCCTTTTCTTAGCCACTAATCCCATCACGAGGGCCCTACTGTTATGACCTAACTTAATCCCAATTACCTCCCAAGGCGCCATCTTTAAATACCATGGCATTGGGTTGTATGGTTTGAATGTATGTGTCCCTCCAAAATTCATATGTTGGAACTTAAACACCAAGCTGATGGCATTAAGAGATGGGGACTTTCGGAGGTGATTAGACAATGAGAGCTCTGCCCTCATGGGTAAGATTAATGCCCTTATAAAATTATAAATTATGGGCTTCAGAAAGTAGCCTATCTCTTCTGCCATATGAGAGCACAGTGTTCATCCCTTTTTGCTCCTTTCTACCATGTTAGGGAATATCAAGAAGGTACCGTCTTGGAAGTAGAGAGAAGCCTTCAGCAGACACTGAATCTGCCTGTGCTTTAATGTTGAACTTCTCAGCCTACAGAACGATGAGAAAATGAATTTATGTTATTTATAAATCACTCAATCTCAGGTGTTTTTAGAGTGGCACAAACTAAGACATTGGGGATTAGGGATTCAACATACATATTTGGAAGGGACACAAACGTTCAATCCATAACAGATATCATTATATTTACGAACAAGTAGCCAATTTAGCTCTAATGACAGTACCTAATTTAGATTTTTCCTAAGGAGTTACCTACTGCTGCTGGTAAATGGGCCCTTCCTTTAGACCAATCGGCCAAGGTTGCCAGGCAGTTGGCTTAGTTCAGATAGCAGTTCCAGAATCAGGGGACAAAGCTCATTACGGAAAGCTACCACTGCTCTCTTTTTAGCAAACAATAAACTCCTTATCGAGAAAGTTCATAGTTGGTTAGCCTAGTGGCCTGAATTACAATTTCTGTTTCCAGCAATGATAAAAATCTGCATACACACCCCCCACCACCACAAACAGACACACACACTATTTAATTATGTATAGTGCTAAGTTATGGCATGTTGTCAAAAGAATTGCAACTGGCTGGGCGCAGTGGCTCACGCCTGTAATACCAGGACTTTGGAAGGCTGAGGCGGGTGGATCACGAGGTCAGGAGATCAAGACCATCCCTGCTAACACGGTGAAACCTGTCTCTACTAAAAATACAAAAAATTAGCCAGGCGTGGTGACGGGCGCCTGTAGTCCCAGCTACTCGGGAGGCTGAGGCAGGAGAATGGCATGAACCCGGGAGGTGGGCGGAGCTTGCAGTGAGCCGAGATCGCGCCACTGCCCTCCAGCTGGGCGACAGAGCGAGACTCCATCTCAAAAAAAAAAAAAAAAAAGAATTGCAACTTAGTCTGGAAAATGGTCCATAGCTACCTGCATGATAAAAGAGACTCTCATGTAGGACACTGTTATATGTAAATCCCTATGGAAAATTTGAGGTCAAATTGAAAAGGATATGTTACTGTTCACCAAAGAAATCCTATACCAAAATCTGATGGTGATTGAATCAAAATGTTCATGTCCTAGATCTGTGTCTTAAAATGGCAACCCAGTTCCATGAAATGAGTACACATGAGGGAAATCAGGCCATGAAGAGATGAGCCAGACAATGTATATCACTAACCCCTGAAAATGCACAAACTGTTAATAAAAATTTCCCTGTATGCTAATCAGAAAGACAGAATTTGCAGCTCGCCCTAGGAAGTAATTCCAAGAAAAGTCTAGCAACAGGTGTCAAGTAGATTGCATTGGCTTTTTCTCTACTTCTTTGAAGGATGTAAATGAATATTGGCAAGGTTTCTTAATAATATACTCTGAATTTGGTTTGGCATGAGCAGTGACTGAGATCAATGTTGATAATACTATCCAATAAGTTGAACAAGAATATTGTAAATAGTCTGGCCATTCTACTTAGATTTCATCAGATCAATATGTTAATTTCATTGCCCACATGAAGCACTTATGCATGAAGAAGTATCATGTTCAATAAACTTATATTTTTGGTGCCACTCAAAGTAATGGGTTAATAGAAAATTGGAATGGACAAATATAACCCCTTCTTAAAAATATGGGGGTTGCCAAACAATTGAAGAGCTAGTCTCCAAACAGAATTCTGTTTACCACTTATTATAAATTGATGAAACTAAACATGAGTTTCCATTAGGTAAATTATTACATATTTGTGGTAGAAATAGGAAAGAAGGGCTGGACAATGACACAGCAACTGACATAAAAATACTTTGTACTTCAACTTAGTTTTCTTTTTCAATGAAAAAGGCCCAATAGTCCTTGCGCTGACACTATCACTAAAGATCCGAATAGCTGGTAATACTGCAAAACAAAATTCATGTCTATTAAGTTGAACACAACTGCAAGAATTCAAAAAAGATTTATGAAATGTTTTATCTCTTACCTACATATCATCAAGTTGGAAGTGACTGTTCCATTTCTTTGTACTCATCTATTCTTACTTCCTGCTATTGAGAATAAAGTGAAAGCCCTGGCACAGTACATCTTGATGCGAGTAATATGAAATACACCAGAGGGCAAACCAGAAGGACCTACTTCAGAAGTGAAAGCTGGATTAAAATTAATTATCAAAAGAAGAAAGTTGTGACTGTTTCTGAAAGAAAGAGAGCCAATGAGTGGGTTTTATACAAGGGATTCTAACATATAAGCCAGATAAAGGCTTAGAGCAAGAGAATAATAAGCTTTCTCAACTTAGGTTGAAAAGTGCCTTAGGGTAAAGTACCTTGTCAAAACCTCTTCTTCTTTTAAAGAACCAAGAAATTAGCTAAGCAATGGTCAACCTAATGAACATGTTTTTGGAAATGATCCATACCCTTACTCTGTCTATGGCTATGTGGAGCAATACAAATGTGGTTATTTCTTTCAGCTCTCATTTCCAAAGTACAACTATTATCAAGGACCTGTGTTTTGAAGCAAGTGTGGAAATGTGTGTTCCCAGTTGAATCTGGAGAACACTGTGTGTTAATTCACAATCTAAAAGAACATGATGTGGCCATTAATTGTGATTATGGTTTAATGACAGTAGCAAGTCCCATCTGTCATAATATTATGTGAGAAACTAGCAATTTGCCTTATTGTATGTGGAAACTCTAAAGTAGCTGGAGGAAACAATGAGTTGTGAAGCACTGACAAAGGAAAATAACCAGGTATACCTTGGTAAGCCTGAATAACTGGAAATGAGATGTCAGAGATTTGATGTGGACAACAACGTAAAATGTGGTTAATCATGGCTACTACTAATGTGACCTTATCTTGGCAGATTCAACAATTTTGTTCCCAGATTTATTTCCTATACATTCTGAAGTGTTTAGTACCTAATGGCAACATCAGTTTTAATGGATCAAATGGCACTGGCCAGTGGAAAAAAAAAGAGCTTTAAATAATTAGAAATAAGGATAGGAATAATTGTCTGGTGAAGTTTGCTTTTAATTAGGGAAGATCTGTGAGGGTCAAATAGCTCATGATCTTCTTCCAGAAGATGGGAAACCAACTAGAATGATATAACACTGACAAAAATGGACCTTGCAATTAAAGCAAACATTAAGATGACATGTCCCAAACCAGCAAGTGAAATGAGCTTGCATGTTAGTTAGCATGGCTGCCTTCTTCCTGTGTCCCTTACATGGTCTTTCCTTGGTGCATAGGCATCCCTGGTATCTCTTTGTGTATCCACATTTCCTCTTCTTATGAGGACGCCAGTCAGATTGGATTACTGCTCACTCTACAGCCTCATTTTAGCTTAATCACCTCTTTGAAGGCCCTATCCCCAAACACAGTCACATTCTTGGTACTGGGGCTTCAACATATTAATTTGGGGGGGACAAAATTTAGCCCATAACACATGGTCTTTAACCTACTATCAGAAATAATATATGATATATGGGAAGGGGTAAATTTTATGGAAGAAACAAAATAATTATATTGCAATAATATTTTGTTTACATTACAACCGTATATTCAGAGTATGCCATGATGCTCTTATACAGAATAATAGAGATCCCATGTAAATTTAATATTATGGAACCTAGTAATACTTTGAACACTAACACTGAAGATCAAGTGTATTGAGAAATTGAATTAAAACTCTTTCAGGATGTCATCGAAAGGGAAGTGGTCTGAAAAAAATTTAAACCTTATCAATGATAAATATATTATAATTATTAGTCATTCAGCAGATGCAAACCCTAAAGTGCAGGTATATATAGATCAAGGATGAAACAAGAAACTTAGGTTAATAGAAAACTGTGAGAAAGTTTGTGCTGGTATTATCATATGATTCTGATTCTATTTGCTGTTTAAATCCATGTAACTCCTCGATGGTTATTACAAATGTTTGGAATAGGTATGTGATTTTGTTTACGGATTCTAGTTACACAATATGGCAAGTAATTGCTGTCAAACTAGAGTGATTGTTTTGTCATATCAAGTCCTTGAGCACAGATAAGAGACGTGGATGGTGTTGCTGTGAAGGTTAATTCCAACAAGTCAGGAATGAGCCTGATCTGTTTAATTAAAATGAGAAATATGAAAATACGATTAATAGTATTGATAGCAACCATGATCCAAAGAGTTTCAGGGAGGTTTATACTGCTTCTTAGCACTGTTTATTGATAACAGAGAGATTGGTGAATTATACCTAGTCTCAGTGAAGTGCTTTTGAGGTTGTGCTTTTGGGATTGGTTTTGTAGCAAGGTTGTCTTTTGGGGGTTGGTTATATAGCGAGGTTGTGTTTTGGGGTGGGTTATGTAGCAGGAATGTTTTTATATAATCAGTAAAAACATCCCAGTTTTTCAGATATCCCAAGTGAGACTCCATATGGGCTCCCTGTTTCTGAGATGCTCTGTACACACACCAGTGGTTTCTGATCCAGGAATATATCCAGCACACCATTATAGAAGGGAAATAATTGAAGCTTGCACCCGTGCCCTTGTTGAGAGGCATATTCTTACTTCACGCATATCCTTACTTCAACAATAATGCAGCAAACTGTAGATTTGTAAGCACTTCATTTTGGGTCCTATGAGTTTTCTTTAATGATCAAACCCTGTTTAACTCCCCCTCATAGTCTAAGAACGTAAGCTATTACTGTTAAAGAATACAATGGTAAAGTTTGTGTACAAGCCATTGTTGTTGTCTTGTCACCTCTTAGTATTTAAACAGGTCTCAAAGATAGTTTGCTGGCTGTTCTTTCACCACTCAAAAAAAACCCCACTGAGAATATTTATAGAAGTGGTAGCAATTTACACCAAAATCTTCAAAACCCTCAGTAATTTTTAGGACCTCTTACCATCACAGATAGAACCTTCTAACATTGAAACACATTGCACGGGACGAATGCTAGGATTCAGTAAGTAGAAACTGCCCTATGGAGTGGAAAACGCATTGAAAAAGGAGTCAGGAGAAATGGTCCTAGTTTTGCGTATTTCACCTTAAGTAGGAACCACTCAGCAAGTCATAACCTCTTTCTCTGTATCAGTTTCATTATAAAATAGACGTGCAGGACTACATGATTTCTATCTCCCTGGGTCTAGAATCATTTGATTCAACCATGGTAGGTAATCAGTTACCTAAAAATAATCTAAGCTTAAAACTGTAAATTAAAGAGAATTTTAAACACAAATCTAGAGGCAACGGGAAGGAATGCTAAGGAGTTACAATTGTTTTAAATGTTCCATTTTGTCTACTGTTTTTCTCCAAGTCAGGATATGCTATTTAGAAGAAGATACTATGTAATTAAATTTAATTTTACTAAGGAAATAATAATAGAGGTATCTATTATTTTTGCAGAATATTTGCAAAAGAAATAATTGGCTGTGGTAATTTTTACATGCTTCTTATTAATTTATTCTTATTGATAATAATTCTTATTAATCTCCTAAATTGTCCTTTAAGAAAGTTATTATTCCTATTTTATAGGTAAGGAAAACAAAGTTCAAAGAGTTTAAATAACTTTCCTCAGATCAGTAAAAAGTTACAGCTATTTCTAAATCATAGGTATGTATAGAAAATATACATAAGCTGTCTGAAAAGAGAGTAACTGCTGAAAGGATAATTCAAGAAACTGCAAAAAGGGAGTAAAATAAAGGAAACTTCAGATTGGCTTTGTAGTTTAATATAAGATATGTATTACAAATAATTAGCAGACAAATTGGTCACAATGATTCTCAGGGTCTTGGCTCCTTCTCTTTTTGATCTGTTTTCGTACCATTTCTGGTTCTTTTGGGTACATATTCTTATCAGAGTATACTTGAGCCTGACTCCAGCTCCTTCTCTACTTTCATACAGTTGATTCTGTTTTGTTTTATTTCCATCTGCTAATTTACTTAGCTCAAGAATACTGAATTCCAGTTTCACTTATGTATTCCAATTCTCTCTTCTGAATATCCACTATTCTGTTAAAGCTCTGTATCTGCATAAGGTTCTTCCCAATTGCAAGAAACACCATTTTTCAGAAACAGAAAGACTGTATTATAAGAATTTCTTCTCTGAAAATAGAACAGACTAGATGTTTGGAATAAATTTCTGGTACAGAACATACATAAATGCCAGGTAAAATATTAAAAGGATCTTTAAAAAATTAAGTGAGCAGGAAGAAAATAAAGAATATAATGGGAAGCAAGCAATGACAAGAAAGTGCTAAACCAGAGAAGGAAAGAAGGTAAAGAATAGCACGTGCACTGTGAGAGAATTGTGCTCATGATTGGACTCATTAGGTTTCAATGGGTTTGTTTCGAAACCATAAGAACCAAAGGCCTGTGCCTACTTTAGACCCACCAAAATGAAGCCTTTAAAAAGGCTTAATAAGATTAACAAGACAGACATAATTTGAAAGCTGAGTTCCACTAAGTTAGAGGGACTTGGGAAAGACCTTGGCCTTTTCACAAATTCAGTTTCACAAGGTCATAAAACCAAGTCTTTGCAAGTACAAGGTGATCCATTTTAAGTAAAATTTCTGCTAATATTGAATCAGAGTTTTTACATTGTATAATCCAAATATCCAAGGTTTTCAATAAAGAATCAATAAATATATAAAGGGACTGAATAACAATCAGTTAAAACCAAATCCAAGATGGCACAGATGTTTAACTTAGCACCCAAATATTTCAAAGTGGCTATTACAAATATATTGAAATATTTAAAGAAAAATGTGCTCAAATTATTAATTAAAATATATTAATTATTAATTCCTTAATGTAGGAAATTTCAGAAGAGAAATGGAATCTATAAAATAAATTAAAAATTTTAGAAATAAGTAATAAAATGAAATGGAATTTTCACTGAATGAGCTTAACAGATGATTGCGAATAAAAAAATTAGTAAATGTAAACTCAAAGCACTAGAAACTATTCAATCTGAAAATATTAAAGAAAAATGGAGCTTCAGGGATCTGTGAAACAATATCAGAAGTTTCTAACATACAGGTAATTGAAGTCACTGGCAGAGAAAACTATTGATTGGGGCAGAAAAAGAAAAAAATGATTTAAAAAGTAAAAGGTGAAAACTTCCCAAGTTTGAACTAAAAAAATCCTGATTTATAGATCAGAGAAGTTCAGCAAACTGTTACAAACATAGTAAGTAAGAAGAACTATTCTTACTTACATATAGTTTAACTGCTAAAAAGGAAAGAAAAAGAGAGAATCTTGAGAGCAACCACAAGGAAAAAAAGACCCTAAATACAGAGGAACAACACTATGAAGGATGATAGAGCTTTCATCAGAAAAGATGGAAACCCAACATCGTTTCATATGGCATTTGAATATTTTTTTCTGTCAGCATTTTGTTTTTGTGATTTTTCTGCTATAAGTTTGTACATTTGCCTTTTTTATTTTCAGAAGCTCTCTGTACATTAGGGTTATTAAACCTTTGTTTATATAAATATCAACATTTTTAATACAGATTTTCATTTTTCTTTGTACTTTGCATATGATGTCTTTGCCATGATTTTTTCTTTTTTTAATTTTATGCTTTTGAGTGTTATGTCATAGTTGGGCAAGTCATTCATATTTTCATATTTTTATGGTTTCATTATTTATAGTTAATTCTCTAATCTATCTATCCTGGCCTATGATATGAATTATGGATCAAATTTTACCTTTTACCATAAACTATTAATAAGTGGTATTGTAATAATACCACTTAGTAAGGAAAACATTTCACTTTCTCAAGAAGTAGTAATAAATGTGCTTTATTTGTGAAACAGCATTTAAACTTATTTTATTTTTTTTTATTTTTGTGGAAATGGGGTCTCACTGTGTTGCCCAGGCTGGTCTCAAACTTCCAGGCTCAAGCAATCATCCTGCCTCTGCCTCCCTAATTGCTGGGATTGCAGGCATGTGCCACCATGCCCAGCTGTTTATGAAACAGAGAAGACTAACTAGAGGATGAAATCATGTTAGGAAACAATAAGGACTTTAAAAGCCCAGTAGTAAAAAATAAACAAACAAAAAACTATATTAATATCCCCTAGATATTTGGTGCAAAGAAGTAATTGGATAAAATTACTGCTTAAATAATATTTATTTGGTTAGATTGTTCAAAATTTTAAATTTGCTTTTGTGTTTGTTTAATTAGTTAATTTGTCCTAATAGGAAACATGAAATCTATGGATCAGAAAACAGACCATTTACTTACAGAGCATCTTAGCAGGGCTTCAGTCAATTTCCCCAAGTTTTGCACAATGAGGACCTGATGACATTTGTGCATACGGCATGGTTTGCATCACAAGGAAGAAACCCCAAAATTCTGAGACTTGGAGCTTCTATAATAAGGCTGACATGTCATACTTTCTTCCCTTCAGAGAGCAAGAGAGAGAAAGAGAGATTGGCTTTTACTCCATAATGTAAACAAGTAAATCCTTTCCAGGAAGGAAGAGGGCACTGCCCTGGAAGAAAGTAACTGTCTTTGGCAGGGGTCGGGGGAAAGTATGTCTGGGTTATATTACCTTTACAATGTAAACAAATGGCTTTGGGAGATATCTTAGTTTGTTCAGACTACTGTAACAAAATACTTTAGACTGGGTAATTTATCAACAACAGAAATTGATTATAGTTCTAGAGCCTGGAAGTCCAAGATCAAGGCACCAGCAGATTTGGTGTCTGGTGTGGGCTTGCTCTCTCTTTCACAGATGCCACCTTCTCGTTGTGTCCTCACACTGTGGAAAGAACAAGCAAGGTCCTTTGGTCCTCTTTTATAAGGTCACTAATCTCATTCATGAGATCTCCATATTCATGACCTAATTACCTCCTAAACAACCCACCTCTTAATACTATTGCATTAGGGAGTAGGTTTCAACATATGAATTTGGGGGAAGGGGTGGAACAATCACATGATAGCAGGAGATGTCTTCAAATTTTTCCAGAGCCGTTCATTATCTTTAAATTCCGAGGCAGTTTACAATTCAGTCATCCTTTAACCCAGGTTGTCAGCAATCTGTTCAGAAAGCCCAGACTGTGTAGAAATGTAAAAATATTAATAGAGAATTATTTTCTGAATAAATACTGGTTATAAGGAAGACTCAGATTAGGAATCTAGCTAGAAAGATGCTTAGCATTTTAGATTCTAGGAAATGATCCAGATTCAGATCATCCCATTGAAACTAAAAAGAGTAAAATGGATATAAAGCATATTTTATGTAAAACTGGCCAATACTTTGTGATTGAATAAATATTAGGGAAAATGGGAAAGATGAATTCAAGTATCTACGTTCAAAGATATGTGATGAAAGTCATAGGAAAATTAAAGGGAAACTATTTTAATAGTAGGAAATAGGATTGGATTTGAATGTATAGTATTTGAAATATGAGGAAGAGAATTGGGGTGCCACATCAGGCTTCACTTTATTAGGCACTGTTAGAATTAAGGAACTTCTGAGACAGAATTACATGAGACATGTACATAGAAAAAAGGATCTAGAAAGCAACAAAGACTTTTTAATGAGATCAGAATAATTAACAAAATAGTATTTGTTAAGGTAGTGGAAAGTCTTGCATTCCAAAGGAGACACATTCCAGAGAAGTGGAATTCATACGGCATAGAAAATACTGAAAAAGATTAAAAACAGAATATATTTAATTTTGCAATAGGGAGGCCATCCCTCCATAACTGTGAGACAAAAATTTCATTAGAGTGGCTGAGGCAGAAACCAGCTCTATGGTTAGAAAAAGAGATAAGTGGAAAAAAAGTTACAATAAATATATCTACTTTCACAGGGGAAAGTGTCTAATTAATATGAATAAAACAATTCCCCACTCTTCTTATATCTGTGACTTTGCCTCTGTAACCATGCCTACTGTCAATGACTTTATTCTGTTTCCCTCTGAGACTCCAAAATACAAATGAATTTAAAGAAGCAAGTATCTGTACTGAACCAATAAACCAGGATTTTCTTTAAATAGATTACTATGTCTTTAGATGAGTACTTCTGGGATTATATCTGGTCTTGAGGATTTTTTTCAGTAATTGAGTTCACTAAATCAGCAAAGCACAATTACAATGGGTTATACTTTAGCATTAAAAATGGATCCAGCAAACAAAAATCCATATTTAAAATGTATTAATTGGCAATATGATACTATCTATAAAAATATAATACGTATTTGTAATTGTTCCTATAATTGTTGTACTATACTCTTAGAAATTCCTTGCATTGACAGAAGTAATTTCTAGAGGATCTTTAAACTTTACACATAAGTAGAGTTGAAGATTATATATGAGTATAACCATAAAAGAGAATGTTGACACAAGGGATTAATATCCAGCTCAAAATCGAAAGTCTAAACAATTGATAAGTGGTAGTTGTGCCAGATTAAAGCATTACACAGCCATCTGGCTATCTCCTGGGAAGAAGTGAACATTACAGGCTATTTATCACGTTTGGTTCTGCTCTTTCAAATAATACATACATTGCCATGGTTCCCAAAAAATCTTACAGTAAACACTTCATGTCTAAAGCATTAATTTCCTTGTACTGTTTGAAATTGTATTAGAGTACCTAACAAACCTTTGTAATTTTGTAATTCACTTAGATGCAAGTACAACATGTGGCTTTTCTCTGCCAACTAATCCATTCTGTACAGCCAAGCTTTCAGAAGAAATTTCAAAAGATTCCAAGGTTTCTAGATGGAAGCATATGTCAATATGGTTGTATAACATAGCTCAGTTATTCTCACAACATTTTGTTCAATCCTTTTGTCACTGTAAAAAAAAAACAAAAAAAAAAACAAAAAACAGCAGAAAAGGAACTCACATGCATTGTCATTTTTTTTTTAAAAAAAAACAACCTTTTTAAAAACACAATGACTAGTAATGACTAGTAATTTGTCTTTTAAATATGACCAGAATATTGAGGGTATGTGACACTCCAAGGAAAAAATGACTAAACAAATATTATTTTAGATGTCATGTCAGAAAAGATTTACACTTAGCACATCATTATTTATATTATTTCCATGAAGAATTTTGAAAGTAAATCATAGATAATCTCATTTTTTACCAAAGAAATTTAGTAATTTACTCAGCCATATCATCATTGAAGTAGAAATATTGTACTTAGACATCTGAATTACCTGATGTCCATCATATAATCTTGAAGCTTCTCACAGTACGTTGTGAAGAGCCTAGACAGCAAGCAAATGTGTCATGACTAACTCTGGTTTCTATTCATATACACTGAATTAATCTATGACTTTTAGATCTACTAATTCACCTATTCAAGCAACTCCATGAGGTAGTTGCTATTATTATTCTCATTTTTACGGAAGAGAAATTGAAGTGACTTGCCAAAAAGAACAAAATGTAATCAATCAACAAGTTACTAGGAAAAGGCTAAATACAATATTACTGTTTATACAACAGTTTCTCACCTCAAATAGTTGTTTACAGATTACATACATCAGAATTTTCTGAGTGCTTTTTAAAAATTAGATGCTTAGCTCTGTTTCTTCAACCCAGGGAATCCATCAGGCTCCACTCGGGTTCCTCCTGCCTTTGCCATCACCTGGAAATTCTCTCAAGGTGGTACACTGGGGCAAACCTAGGAATCAGATTGTTGACATTTTCTCAGAACTCTGTGCCCTTCATTGACTAATGTCCAATGTCTTGAAGCCCATTGATTTATATATTTTGTCTGCTTTTTGTTTTTTTAAGGCAATAGGGTAAATTTGGTCCCACTCATGCAAATCGGTCAAAACTAGATATCCCCCTGAATTTTAAAAAACATTGCATTGTAGGAGCTTGCAGTGAGCCTAGATCACGCCATTGCACTCCAGCCTGGGGACAGAGCGAGATTCCGTCTCAAAAAAAAAAAAAATTGCGTTGTAATTGATATCCATAAAAACCTGGCACTATCATAAGTAGGCAGCAAGATAAATTTTCACAGTCTGGAATTAAAGGATAAGACCACAAATCAATACAGAGTTTAAAAAAGAATGGAATGTATTGCTTATTTTTGTGAAGGAGAATTATATTAGTCAGTCAGTGTCTCTGAGCAGAGCAGACTGGTGGTCTTAATAGAAAGCTTTTGGGAAAGTGTGGAGGTCAGGTATTGATATCCTTGTAGAGGTTAAGTCATTTTGTAGAGGTTAACATCAGCTGTAGTATTCAGCCGGTTGTGATTTTTGGTTGATTAGCTGTCACTCAGAGGTGTGGTTTAGTGCAGACAATCTATTCCTGACAGACTAACTTTCAGAAGTAAAGGACTGTCATTGATTTTACAAGCACATTCACTGAAGTGAGTTTTTTTTTTAATTTTATTATTATTTAAGTTTTAAGGTACATGTGCACAACGTGCAGGTTTGTTACATATGTATACATGTGCCATGTTGGTGTGCTGCACCCATTAACTTGTCATTTAGCATTAGGTATATCTCCTAATGCTATCCCTCCCCCCACCCCCGACCCCACAACAGTCCCCAGTGTGTGATGTTCCCCTTCCTGTGTCCATGTGTTCTCATTGTTCAATTCCCACCTATGAGTGAGAACACGCAGTGTTTGGTTTTTTGTCCTTGCGATAGTTTGCTGAGAAGGATGGTTTCCAGTTTCATCCATGTCCCTACAAAGGACATGAACTCATCATTTTTTATGGCTGCATAGTATTCCATGGTGTATATGTGAGAGATATAGACCAATGGAACAGAACAGAGCCCTCAGAAATAATGCCGCATATCTACAACCATCTGATCTTTGACAAACCTGACAAAAACAAGCAATGGGGAAAGGATTCCCTATTTAATAAATGGGGCTGGGAAAACTGGCTAGCCATATGTAGAAAGCTGAAACTGGATCCCTTCCTTACACCTTATACAAAAATTAATTCAAGATGGATTAAAGACTTAAACGTTAGACCTAAAACCATAAAATCCCTAGAAGAAAACCTAGGCAATACCATTCAGGACATAGGCATGAGCAAGGACTTCATGTCTAAAACACCAAAAGCAATGGCAACAAAAGACAAAATTGACAAATGGGATCTAATTAAAATAAAGAGCTTCCGCACAGCAAAAGAAATTACCATCAGAGTGAACAGGCAATCTACAGAATGAGAGAAAATTTTTGCAACCTACTCATCGGACAAAGGGCTAATATCCAGAATCTACAACGAACTCAAACAAATTTACAAGAAAAAAACAACCCCATCAAAAAGTGGGCAAAGGATATGAACAGACACTTCTCAAAAGAAGACATTTATGCAGCCAAAAAACACATGAAAAAATGCTCATCATCACTGGCCATCAGAGAAATGCAAATCAAAACCACAATGAGATACCATCTCCCACCAGATAGAATGGCAATCATTAAAAAGTCAGGAAACAACAGGTGCTGGAGAGGATGTGGAGAAATAGGAACACTTTTACACTGTTGGTGGGACTGTAAACTAGTTCAACCATTGTGGAAGTCAGTGTGGCGATTCCTCAGGGATCTAGAACTAGAAAACACATTTGACCCAGCCATCCCATTACTGGGTATAAACCCAAAGGATTATAAATCATGCTGCTATAAAGACACATGCACACATATGTTTATTGTGGCACTGTTCACAATAGCAAAGACTTGGAACCAACCTAAATGTCCAACAACGATAGACTGGGTTAAGAAAATGTGATGTGAGTTTTTGATCAATGGAACAAGTTTAAAAACTGGTTCTGATGACTACTTATTACCACAAATAAAAAAGAATCAGTTTTCGCCTACCAGTGTGAGAACTTTTTGTCACTGAATACATCCATGTAAAAAGTACTGAAAAACAAACACACAAGATTAGAGCATCATCAGCTCTCCAGAAGCACCACTTTGTGCTGTCATCCGGTTCCTATTCCCCTCTGAAATTAGCCAGTATCTTGATTTCTAACAACATAGATTAGTTTTGCCTGTTTTTCCACATTATCTAAGCAGAATTATACAGTATATAATATTTCTTGTTCTAGGTTCTTTTGCTAAACATGTTTGTAAGTTTCTTTCATTATTTAATCTAAGATGAAATCTATAGGAATATGTATACAATTGTTGGGTATATATTAAGAAGTGGGAATGCTGAATCATAAGGTATGGATATGTTTAGCCTTAGTAGATTTTGCAAAGCCATTCTCTAATGTGGTTGTACCAATTTGTACTTCAATCAGCATTGTGTGGAAATTTCAGTTGCTTCTCATCTTCACCAACATATGCTATTTATTGTCTGATAAATATTATGATATCACATTGTACTTATAATTTGCTTTTCCCTGGTCATTAATCTCCCAAATCTGGTCACCTATTGGCTCCTAGAATCTTGGAAATTAGGCTTACAACCTCTAAGCAAGAAATATGACAATTATTCTCCAGGACATCTAAAAGAAAACATTTATAAATATTGATACTGATGGTATTCCAAAAAAGAACATAGTCATTTCGGTCTAAAATAAAGCCATATTTGACAAATCTGCCCAAGCACACAAAACTTCCAATCAGCATTCTAACGCCCAAGTATCAATTATGAGTTAGCAGCCAAAGTTCACTAAACGTTTTAGAAAATTAACTAACATAAAATTTAGACCCAACAATAAAAACAGAGATAGAAAATAATTGAAAGAAATAACAATTTATGCAAAGAAAAGCATTTATTATCATAATACTAAAAATGCTCAATACTGAATTCAGGCAAAATTACACTATAACTATTTTTGGAGGATGTACGCATTGGATGAATGTTTGCAGTGGGTGCAAGTGTGTAGTGGGTGTGGGAAAGTTATGAAAATAATCTAAATTTTCATCTTCCTTTTTAGGAAGTCAATGCATAATGCTTGAAATTGAAAAATAAAAAAAAGGAGTCTTAGTATCTGATTGAATGATAGGAATGATAATAAAGAAATAGTGAGGAGCTCAAAGTGGCTGTTTGCAGGAGGATGAAAGAGGGCTGAGCAGAAAGAACTGCTTTTTGGTAAGACTCTTTGTAAAGCTGTGCAACCTCTGAAACTGCGCATAGATTTTTTTTTTCAAAAAATTGAAAAAAAAGTTGACCATAATTTTGGTGAGTACCTTGACAGAGAGAGAAAATGAATAAGTAGAGACAGTTAGTCATATTTGATCAGTAGTGTTCCTATAGTTGTTGTAAGTGCTTATCCCAGTAAAAGTGTCCAGATACACTACTAGGAGGTATTAGAGAGAAATTACATTATTTCAAAATAAAAAGCCAAACAAATACATAAATTTAGCATCATTTTACTGAAGACATGATATCTGCAATGAAGAATACACTGAATTTACAAAAATGTAATAAATATTATCTTTTAATTGGATTATTCATTCTTAACAAATATTTATTTACTATTTATTATGTGCTAGATGAATAAGAAACATTTCTTTACCTTAAATTGTTTTGACCTAATGGAGAAAATAGAAAAGCACATAATTACTGTACAGTGCCAGGAGAACTATACATAAAAATGGCTCCAGAGCAAATGAGGACTCATAAAGCATATAAACAAACTTCATGTGGCTGTGGAGCATCTCCCAAAAGAGCAGACATTTATTTGAGCAAGTCCAGAAGATGAGCAAAAATTATATTATGTAAAATAATATAATAACCTTCCCAAATAGCGGACCATAGCTATTCGTTTATTGTTTGTTTATTATTTATTTGGAACAGTTACTATCAGAATGAGAAAGCCAAAAGCATGAGGTTAGGTTAGGTAGGTGCAAACTCAGTAATAGAACTGAGTCACTGGGTATATACCTGTATTTGTCCATTTTCATGCTGCTAATAAAGACATACCCAAGACTGGGAATAAAAAGAGGTTTAATTGGACTTACAGTTCCACATGACTGGGGAGGCCTCAGAATCATGGTGGGAGGTGAAAGGTACTTCTTACATGATGGTGGCAAGAGAAAATTAGGAAAAAGCAAAAACAGAAGCCCCTGATAAACCCATCGGATCTAATGAGACTTATTCACTATCACGAGAACAGCACAGGAAAGACCAGCCCCCATGATTCAATTACCTCTCCCTGCGTCCCTCCTACAACATGTGGGAATTCTTGGAGATACAATTCAAGTTGAGATTTGGGTGGGGACACAGCCAAACCATATCATTCCAATCCTGGCCCCTCCAAATCTCATGTGCTTACATTTCAAAACCAATCATGCCTTTCCAACAGTCCCCCAAAGTCTTAACTCATTTCAGCATTAATCCTAAAGTCCACAATCCAAAGTCTCATCTGAGACAAGGCAAGTCCCTCCCACCTATGAGTCTGTAAAATCAAAAGCAAGCTAGTTACTTCCTAGATACAATGGGGGTACAGGTATTGGGTAAATATAGCTGTTCCAAATGGGAGAAACTGGTCAAAACAAAGGGGTTATAACCCCTATGAGAGTTTGAAATCCAGCGGGGCAGTCAATTTTAAAGCTCCAAAATTATCTCCTTTGACTCCAGTTCTCACATCCAGGACATGGTGATGCAAGAGGTGGGTTCCCGTGGTCTTGGGCAGCTCCACCCCTGTGGGTTTGCAGGGTACAGCCTCCCTCCCAGCTGCTTTCACAGGCTGGCACTGAATGTCTGCAGCTTTTCCAGGTGCATGGTGCAGGCTGTCAGTGGACCTGCCATTCTGGGGACTGGAGGATGGCAGCCCTCTTCTCACAGCTCCACTAGGCCATGCCCCAGTAGGGACTCTGTGGGGGCTCTGACCCAACATTTTCCTTCCGCCCTGCCCTAGCAGAGGTTCTCCACGAGGGCCCCACCCCTGCAGCGAACTGTTGCCTGAGCATCCAGGCATTTCCATACATCTTCTGAAATCTAGGCGGAGGTTCCCAAACCTCAATTCTTGACTTCTGAGCACCCACAGGCTCAGCACCACATGGAAGCTGCCAACGCTTGGGGCTTCCACCCTCTGAAGCCACAGCCCGAGATCTACTTTGGCCCCTTTCAGCCATGGCTGGAGAGGCTGAGACACAAGGCACCAAGTCCCTAGGCTGCACACAGCATGGGGACCCTGGGCCCAGTCCACAAAACTACTTTTTCCTCCCAGGCCTTTGGGTCTGTGATGGGAGGAACTACTGTGAAGGTCTCTGACATGGCCTGAAGACGTTTTCCCGAGGATCTTGCAGATTAACACTAGGCTTGTGCTAGTTTTGCAAATTTCTGCAGCCAGCTTGAATTTCTTCTCAGAAAATGGGCTTTTCTTTTCTATTTGATCATCAGGCTACACATTTTCTGCATTTTTATGCTCAGTTTCCCTTTTAAAATGGAATGCTTTTAATAACATCCAAGTCACCTTTTGAACGCTTTGCTGCTTAGAAATTTCTTCTGCCAGATACCCTAAATCATCTCTCTCAAGTTGAAAGCTCCACAGATATCTAGGGCAGGGGCAAAATGCCGCCAGTCCCTTTGCTAAAACATAACAAGAGTCACCTTTGCTCCAGTTCCCAACAAGTTCCTTATCTCTATCTGAGACCAACTCAGCCTGAACCTTATTTTTCATATCACTATCAGCATTTTTGCCAAAGCCATTCAACAAGTCTCTAGGAGGCTCCAAACTTTCCCACATTTTCCTATCTTCTGAGCCCTCCAAACTGTTCCAACCTCTGCCTGTTACCCAATTCCAAAGTTGCTTCTACATTTTCGGGTATTTTTCCAGCAATGCCCCACTCTACTGATACCAATTTACTGTATTAGTAGTCCCTTTTCATGCTGCTGATAAAGACATATCCAAGGCTGGGAAGAAAAAGAGGTTTAATTGGACTTAACGGTTCCATATGTCTGGTGAGGCCTCAGAATCATGGTGGGAGGCAAAAGGTATTTCTTACATGGCAGCGGCAAGGGAAAATGAGGATGAAGCAAAAGCAGAAGCCCCTGATGAACCCATTAGATCTCGTGAGACTTATTCACTATCAGGAGAATAGCAACGGGAAAGACTGGCCCTCCTGACTCAACTACCCACCCCACTCCGGGTCCCTCCCACAACTCATGGGAATTCTGGAAGATACAATTCAAGTTGTGTGGGGACACAGCCAAACCATATCATTACCCAAAGGAATATAAATCATTCTGCATAAAGACACACACATGTGCATGTTCATTGCAGCACTATTCACAATAGCAAAGATGTGGAATCAACCTAAAAGCGCCTCAATGATAGACTGGATAAAGACAATGTGGTACATACACACCATGGAATACTATGCAGACATAAAAATGAATGAGATCATGTCCTTTGCAGCGACATGGATGGAGCTGGAGGCCATTGTCCTTAGCAAACTAACACAGAAACAGAAAAATCAAATAGAGCACTTTCTCGCTTTACAAGTGGGAGCTAAATGATGAGAACACATGGACATATAGAGGGGAACAACACACACTGGAGCCTTTAAAAGGGTAGAGGGTGGGAGGAGGGAGAGGATCAGGAAAAATAACTAATTGGTACTAGGCTTAATATCTAGGTGACGAAATAATCTGTACAACAAATCCCCATGATGCAAGTTTACCCATGTAACAAACCTACATTTGTATCCCTGAACTTAAAAGTTTTTTAAAAAGAACAGAGTCAATTCTTAGGTCAAGCTCTTACACTTGTCTGTATATTGCACAAATCTAGTGAGCTTTAAAAGATACTGATACCTGGGATCCACAACCATAGACTGATTAACTTTTCAGGCATGTGTCTTGGGCACTGGGTGTTTTCAAACTCCCAAGTCCAAAAATACAGTCAAGTTGAGAACCAAAGATGTCAGCTGTTTTCAAAGATTAATTCCAGAGTGGAGAATATCTCAAGAAATGTGACTACCTGATGAAATAAGCTATTAGCAGAATTCCAAAACTGCCACATGTACATAGCACATAGACTATTTCTATATAATACAATGGGAATAGTGCCCCTTGCAGATGTAATGGAGGAGTATTGGGATTAGGAATTTAATTTTCTCTTAAAATGCCTTTTGGTTTTTAAAAACTTTATAATAGTAAAATCTCAAAATAACACTAGATTTTGGCTTACTGTGAACATTTCTCAAATAGCTTTGAGAACCTGGCATTTTCAACCATCCTGTTGTATGAGGAATGTTGATGTAATATTTTGAGTGTGTCTCTTCGTGATAGCTCACTGTCTTACCCAGCACATATAGTTCACTTCCAACTAGTGTTTTATTCTCACTAAAACATCAGGTCCTTGCAACATCTATTTATCTCAGGTACTTACTGACTGTGTGGCTCTTCACCATAATCAACTATATTTTTCACTATTATTTACTTCAACAGTTTCAGCAAAACCTTATTTCTCATGGTTGTCTAAAAGGTAGATTGTAAATATTTCTGAAAAGACAGTTTCTTTTATGATTGTCTTCTTATTTCTTGGTTTTACATTTAAATATTGTGAAAAATTTAAACATAGAGATGAGTACCTAAAACAATGTAAACTATGTATTGATGTGCTGACCTCTAAAATTAAGCCGATATTAACATTTTTAAAAATGTTTGCTTTCAACTTTTCTTTCATTTTTTAAGAATAATACAGATGTAGCCTAAGTCCGTATACTCATACATTTTTTTCCTCTCCATTCCCTGAAGTTTTTTTTTTTTAATTTCAGTATGCATTTGTGGACTCTATTATATCAGTATAACCATGAAATAGAGAATAGATATATGATTTCAGGTGGTATATATAATTTTGCAATTGGTGATCCCCCATCACCATTAAAGGTGATGTGTACATGTTGATACATCAGATCTAGTTTGGTCACTTTCTTTTTTTTTTTTTTGAGATGGAGTCTTGCTCTGACCCCAAGGCTGGAGTGCAAGGGCACAATCTTGGCTCACTACAACCTCCACCTCCCAGGTTCAAGCGATTCTCCTGACTCAGCCTCCTGAGTAGCTGGGATTACAGGTGCGCGCTACCATGCCCAGCTAATTTTTGTATTTTTAGTGGAGACGGGGTTTCACCATGCTGGCCAGGCTGGTCTCGAACTCCTGACCTCATGATCTGCCCACCTCGACCTCCCAAAGTGCTGGCATTACAGGCGTGAGGCATCACGCCTGGCCCTAGTTTGATCACTTGAACTACCTTATAATAATCTATTGGATTAATAAATTACAGTTTTTCCAGTCTCCTCCTGAAGAAGAGTTAATTTTAAAAAATATTTTTTATAATAATAGTGCTTCTATGAACATTCACGTAAATATTTTTATCTTATTTCTATTTCAGCCATTCTATTTGATGATTGGTGGTATAATATTGTGGCTTTAATTTACATTTTCCTAATGAGAACTTGATGTGCCTTTTGACCATTTCAATATTAACTTTTCTGAAGTGACTGTCCACATCTTTTGCCTCTTTTCATTTTTTATTGTTATGCTTTCTTTTTCATTTCTATTTTTTAAAATATTCTTTATATTAAGCCCTTGTCAGATATAAATATTTGGAATATTTTGACTCTCTTGATGTTTCTGGTTAAGAAAAGTTCTTAATGTTTATGAAATCCAGTTTTAGTGGTTTTTTTCTTTTTTTTTTTCTTTCTCTTTTCTTTTTTTCTTTTTTTCTTTTTTTTTTTTTTTTTTTTTAGAAAGAGTGTCACTCCTTTACCTAGGTTGGAGTATAGTGGCATAATCACGGCTCACTGAAGCTTTGACCACCTGGGCTCAAGCAATTTTCTCTCCTCAGCCACCCAAGAAGCAGGCACTACAGAAGCATGCCACCATGACTGGCTATTTTCTGTTGTTTTTTTGTTTTTTTTTTTTTTCGTAGAGACAGGATCTCACTATGTTGTCAAGGCTGGTCTTGAACTCCTAGGCTCAGATGATCCTCCCACCTGAGCCTCCCAAAGTGTTGGGATTATAGGCATGAGCCACTGTGCCTGGTGATCTGCTCTTTTATGGTTAATATTTTCGGTATCCTGCTGAAGACATCTTTGTCAGGCAGATATTCTCAATTTTTTTTCTTTTTAAATTATGAATACTTTTACCCTTCACTTTAAGTTATATGATTCTTTTTTTTCCCTTTTGGTATGCTCTAAGGTAGGACTCTGTATTTTGTTTTTCATTCAGATGCCCAATTGTGCTAGTTCCTTTTATTGCTTATATATCCCATTTTCTCCACTTATTTGCAATAGCAATGTTGTTGTAAATCAGGAGACAGCATACATGTACATCTTTTTCTGAACCCCCTATTCTGTTCTATTGATCTGTTTCTCCTCAGGTGTACTGTTACGTGTATAAGCCTTGATCTCAGGTGCCATAATTTCTCTAACTTTGTTTTTCTTAACATTTATAAATAATATAAATATTAAATAACATAATTTATGTAATTATATAATTTAAATGTAATATAAATGTTATATATTACACACACACACACACACATATATATATATCTTATAGTAGCTTGATTTATTTATTTATGTTTAGAGACAAGGTCTCGCTCAGTTGCCCAGGCTGGAGTGTAGTGATATGATCATAGCTCACTATGGCCTTGAACTCCTAGCCTCTAGGGATCCTCCTGCCTCAGCCTCCAGAATATCTGGGACTACAGGTACACGCCACCATACCTGGTTAATTTTTAAAATATTTTGTAGAGATAGGCCCTTGCTCCGTTGCCCAGGCTGGTCTCATACTCCTGGCCTCAAGCAATCCTCCCACCCCATCCTCCCAAAATGTTTATAGTAACTTTATATGAATGACATTGAAATTGTTCTTGTTTATTTTATTTTAATTGGGTTATATTTTTCTGAATCAGCAATATCTGGTGATCCTATGGGCAAGTGGTTGGGAGAAACTATGCAACTCCTTTAGTTTTTCAGTTCATTTGCTCCTTTCTTCAATTATTAGAGTAAAGGATAGTTTCCTTATATTAATAATAAATTGTGCCTTTTGTTATGTCTGACCTCTTCTAATTTTTTGAGAACTTTTTTTAACCTCGTTTTGTCCTTTCACCAATAAATTTCCAAAAATGTCTGGTGCCTTCCAAGATGCCACTTTCTTTCTCAGCACCAGTGCCTTCCTGAAACTGCCACATTAGATCCTGCACACTCTCCAGGACCCTTCCCTTCAGGTACTCAGTATCCAGGATTATCATTTACCTTGACATAGAAGTTATTTCAGTAGTTTCTACTGATAGTCCTTTGCTTTCTGGGAACAAAACCTAACTGATGTTATCTGTGCTCCATTGCTGCTAGAGCCTGTGACCCTTTCCTTTATTTTGCCCAATCACCTCCCACCCCACTCGTTCTGGACTCTGGAGCCATCTCTGCTGGTCTCCTGACAATCTCTGGCATTTATTTTCTCAATAACATGCAGATTTGGGTGTGTAGACTTCTGTTTATCTAGAGGTGTGAGCCATCAGGGATTTTATTTGCTTTATTAATCTACAATGTATACATGAGACTTTTTGGACTGTTAGGAAGGGATGTAAGCAGCCACTATTATCTCACAGGATTCTCAAACACATCTTTCATTTTTAAAAAAGTCACTTCAATATAAATGGACAAACAGCATATCTATATAGATTTCTTCCTCTACAATGACATATTTCATACTCTCCTCTACAGGTATATGCATAATTATATCTATTAAAGACTAATATAAATTAGGTCACTCTGTTATTCTTTGAATAGATGGAACTCATACCTCACAATACGTAAGAATAAACCCAAGAGCTTTAAAAAAGTACATATTTGCTCCTGGTATCTGGTCTGGGATGGAGCACAAGAATCCACATTTTTAAGAAGGCCCTGTCCTGAAGAAGGCAGAAACAAAGCAATGTTTTCTGACTCTCCTCATACATTATGTGATGGGATAATGAAAGCTAGTATCTTCTTGTTGACCATCAGGATACCTTATATACAATAAAATATCCTTAGGCTTATTAATCCAAACTCTGACTAAAGAGAGGGAAATATAAAAATAGCTCTTCAGGCTCAAATTTATCTGTCAAAAATGTTCAGAATTTCTGCCGGGTAGGTGCTCTCTGATCACATTCCCAGAAATGCTCCATGCTGACAGGCTATTTTCTAAGAACCGGTTTAAAAGAGATAATACATGATTCAGCAGTTTGTGCTGTGTGTTCTGAATTCTCTGATTTTTTTAAGATCAATAATAGTGGAGTTATGTGATATCTCATTTAATAATTAGCATCTCAGAAAAATCCTTAAATTGCAAGCATCTTTTGTAGAAGTCCACCAAGATGTTATAACTTAAGAGAATCAACAAAGGACTTATGTCAAAAGATATGTCTTAATTTAAAGATGTAAGTTCTATTATGATCATAAAAATTTACTTTTCCTCATCTATTTTTTAAAATACTAGTTTTTAATAAAATCCTTTAAGGTATATTTTATCATATAATTTAATTCTTGCACTGAAGAATGGAGTAATTTGCCTAAATTTTTTAATCATTAAAAGGTAATTTACCATTTCTATGTAATTTTTTTCACATGGAAATATGGCTATATTTTGCAGTGCTGTTTTACATTGAGAAAAAATGTAGCTGAAATTTAGAGTTGATAAGAAATTTTAAATGACTTTCTTCTTAATTATGTTCACTTAATTTTAAATAATATTTATGTTATTTATTAGGTGATGCCAAATTTAGGTTCATATTTTCCTAATTAGAATAACCCCCAGATATTGTGATATGTATTCTTATGGATCTAGATAAAATTCTGTTCTTTCATTTTTAAATTTATTTCTATAAATATACTAAAAATATCATATATAAAGCATTTTTCAAAACATTATTTTTATTCTCACATTTTATGACACTATTTTATTCAATGTCTTCACACATAAATTTGACATTGTACCTTTATTGGTACTAGAGGCACTTTTGGACTCATATAACAATTTTTCAGAACCTATTGTCTTTATTTCTGACTGACTAAATTGTTCAGATACAGCAAGTTTTGAATATCATTTGAAATTTTATACAAGCCCAATTGCTCATTCACATAACTTTAGAATAGTTTGTTTTTTGGTTTTGTTTTTAACATTTTCCTTGTGGGTACACACTGAGACCTCCCTAACATATCACTTAGTGTGTACCCTTAGAAATAATTTTTAAAATAATTTTTTATGATAAAATTGCTTATAAGTGTGAGGTCAGGCCTCCCTAAATTACTAGCTCTATGCTAAATTTTTTTTCTCTGTGTCTCTCTCACTTTCTCCCTCTTTCACTTAATTCACCAGGTGAGCTCAATATACATTCAAAGTAAAATCAATTAATGCCATTGCAGGCTAATCATTTCTAAACAATACTTTAAAGAAATGCAAAGGATGCTTCTACATTGAGTTGCTAAGGACTTAAGCACAAGCAATTCACTCTTTCTTGGAGATGGGATTTTGGAAACAAGACTTCCCAATCATGTAATCTACACTTCCTATTTATTTGTGTCACTATTTATTTCTTCTTCAAAAATATTTGCAATTCAGCGTCAACCATAGTTTACTATATTAAGCATTATTTATTGCTTTTCTGTCTTAAATTTAAAAATAAGCAAATTTTAGCTTCTTCTCTAAATCTAGAATTTATTTTTATGCACTTTAAAAAGAAGTAAAAAGTCATTTTCTTTGTCATTAATTTTTAGTTGTAACTTATGGGAGCTGTTCAGCAATTTTCACTGCTGCTCGTCAAGGTGTCTACATTTACTTCAGAAGAGGGCCTCTATCAACCTGTAAACACTCAAATGTTTATCTTTCTCAGTTTTTATCTGTAATTTTTAAATATTGTAGAACTTTGACTTTCTTCTAGTAGTTCAATGATGCTGTTTCCTAAAGCAGAATGACTACCTTACCTTTCGTTTGCAATCATAATATAAAAATGAATTAATAAAGGTGTCATTAAAAATAATAAAGCTTTTATAATGCTCTAGGTAATGAAATACGACTTTGCTTTTCTATGTATGCAGAACATCTAAAAGAATTCAGCAAGCAAAATATACAGGTTAGCACAGTCTTCTAAAAAATAGTTAAAAAAAAAAACTTAGTACATTATTTAAGATTCCACATAGGAGTAAGTGACACAGTAATAGCATCCACCAAAAAAAATAAAAACCGCCATAACTACTTCATAAAGAAAAGCTCTTGGCCAGGGATGGTGGCTCATGCCTGTAATCTCAATGCTTTGGGAGGCCCAGGTGGGGCATAGCTTGAGCTCAGGAGTTTAAGACCAGCCTGGGCAACATGGTAAAACCCTGTCTCTACCAAAAATAAAATTAAAAAAAAATAATCTGGGTTTCGTGGCACACGCCTGTAGTCTCATCTACTCTGGAGGCTGAGGTGGGATGATCAAGCGAGCCCAGGAGGTGGAGGTGGCAGTGAGCCAAATCATGCCACTGTACTCCAGCTTGGGTGAAAAAGCAAGACCCTGTCACACATACAAAAAAATGCAAAGCTATTCTTTCCATGTATCAACGTTCTGTCATTGTCAATGAGTCACAGCCTAGCAAGGCCACTCTGTATTATATTCACCACAAAAGTGAATATAATTTATTCTAATCTTATTTCTTAGTCATAATTGTGATAAATTAGAGTTATTCTTATTTAAAAATACAATTACTGATACCATTTTATGACCATATTCTATATTTATGTATTAATATAGAAAAAATATAAACACTTATTTGAAGGCACAAGATTGAGATTTTGAGTGTGTAGGCTCAGTCATATCTTCAGAATTTAAATCAGACATACTTGCCTAATGTATGAATTTTCACATTTTTCACAGATTTCAATAGTAAAATGATTATTTTCAGGGGCTTTGTTTGTGTGTTTGTTTATTAGAGATGAGTTCTTGCTATGTTGCCCTGGCTGGCTTTGAACTCCTGGTCTCAAGCGATCCTCTTGCCTCAGCCTTCTGAGTAGCTGAGGCTACATATATGTGCCACTATGCCCTGCCTCAGAGTGATTCTTAAATGTGTGCGTTTAGGAAGATTTTAACTACCCAAATTCATTAATAAATATACGTTGTTAGTGTTTATATTCAGGGAGAGTGTGCATATTAAAATCCCTACTTGTCAGCTGGGTGTGTTGGCTCATGCATATAATCTGGGGTGGGAGGATTGTTTGTGTCCAGGAGTTTGAGACCAGCCAGAGCAACACAGTGAGATCCCATCTCTACAAAAAATAAAAAATTGCCGGGCATAGTGGTGCACGGCTATAGTCCCCAGCTACTTGGGAAGCTGAGGTGGGAGGATCAATTGAGCCCTGGAGTTTGAGGCTGCAGTGCAGTGAACCATGATCACACTACTGCACTCCAGCCTGGGTGAGAGTAAGACTTTATCTCAAAAAAAAAAAAAAAAGAAAAAAAAAATCTACTTCTCTTGGTTACCAGTGCAGTGTACTTTGAATAATAAAACAAACTATCACAAGTTATAATCTTTTTTCTAAGTTTTGTTAAAAAAGGAAAACTTTCTCCATAATTTATAGGGTGAATCAAATGAATCTTTATATAATATTTGTGTTTCAAATGTACATCTTTAAAACTTGGTAAATATGTTAATGTACTGAGAATTTTTATAACATAAAAAACTCTCTGATGTATCTAATTTACATGTTTTAATGTATATATTTTTGTGAATAAAGGATATACTGTTTTAATTCAGGTATTTGCCTAGTGTTTCTTGAGAACTTCTATGAGAAAGCACAAAACATATGAAATAGAACATAAGTTTTGCTAGCCATTTCATGCAGTCACATGACATCTGGAAGTCAGGTTCAGATTCACTTTTCTTAAGATAGTTTATCCCACAAAATGCTTATGACTCATGGATTCAAATCACCTTAATGGAATGATTTATATGTGCTGTTCTCTTATCACCTACAATTTTATACCTGGCCCAAGTACCAAAATTCAAATCTGCATGGGGCATCTTGTTGTTTAATGTATTATTGATAAACAATTCAAAGTTAAAGTACTTGATAAAAGCAAACTAAAAGTGTTGTATATACTGTTATCAGGACAACATAGTCCAATGAATTGTTCTTCTCCATTCCTAGAATTTATCTGCTTAAAAACTGAGACTTTTTTGGAATAATAGCACTCTCTCCTGATGTGGGCCAGAAAAATACGACATGTTTTTGTTCTTCAGGTCTGGTTTTCACTCTTCACTTAAAAAAAATTGTCTGTACATAACATCTCTCCTACTTCATGGTACTTTAAAAGCATCATGAAAATTGTTTTTCACCTTTGTGTTTTAAATGATAAAATAGCAATATTTTTTCACTCTTTATGTTTGAAATTATCACCTCCCCAATGATATGGAGGAAACCTCTTTAGAATGAGATATGGATAAAAGAAAAAGCACAGCTTAGAATCTAAAGAGTTGAACCTCAGAGTTAGCTATTAACACAATGACTACATAATCATAAATTTTAAAAATTCGAAGATTCTGAGACTGTTTTGAATGGCTTTCCTCATACATAAAAATAATAAGGTAGATTAAATAGTCACTAAAATGTCACCATTCAACTACTCTGGAATAATAAAATTAATAGATGTCTGTATAGAACTTGGCAGTTAACAAAGCTTTTTCACATATATTACTTTATTTAACAGTGTTTCTAGGTCTAATTTGTCTCCCAAATTGCAATAAATATACTAAATCTAAAGACGAATATTTTCCATAAATAAAAAAGTTATTTGGGCAAGTAACCTAACCGGTTTCTTCATCTATAGCATAGATGATAATAGATGTTTCACAGTGCTGTATAAGCAGAAATTCTATCCACAGTTTCTTTAAAAGGATAAACCTCAACTCTAATTAGCTACTTAGCTCTTAGCCATGTAATTGCTATTGCATGTAATTGCATTTTCCCTCTAGAATTCAGTATCAGGTTTAAGGCTATGGATCTCTGACTTGAATAAAGTAGCGTGTATAATAAAATATGTCAAGCAATAAATATCAAGATAATACAATTGTACCATTTTATTTGTGGTAAATAATTACCTTGTTAACTAGTGATGCACCATTCAGATTTTCCTTCAGTGAAACAATGAACATCTTGTTGTCCTTACTGTTACGAGCATGTCCGCTGCCACCCTTTCATAGCCAGCCCCTCTGAAATTGTGTTAACCCAGCCTCCAGGTCCAAGGCTACATGGCTCACATTCAATGACTGATGGACATGGGGCTACAAATGACTAATTATTTCTTTTGAACTCAAGACCACTATGGAGGACCATTCTTCTTCCAAATTTTTCCTGTGGGCTCAGTTTGGGATGTAGCTCCCCAACACTTTCTTTCCCTTCTCCTTTACAGATGTTGATCCCAGAGATTTCTAATAAACACTGCATGCAAAATTCTTTCTCAAAGTCTGCTTCTTGGAGAATTCAAACTGCAAAAAATATTTATGACACATACCTATCTTCCGTAAAAATAGTATAATGATACTTAAATAAGTCTAGGTTACCTAAATGAAAAGGATGTTAACTCAATGATGATAAAAGACTATGTAAGTGGGTGAGCATATGTGTGCACATGTGATACACTAGAAACAAGTATATAGGTCTGTGACTGACAAAATTAATTATAAGCCAAATCTTAAATTTCTCCCTTCTTTTTTTACTAACCAAAATATAATTTTGTTTACAGCAACATTATTTCTTATCCCATGAAAAATATTCATTTGTCTAGCCTCTCTAGTGCTAGGGAATACCATATAATATATTTCAGGTCTGTGAGATTGAAAGAGCATCCTTTTGCAAGTCCTGAGAGGGTTTCTCTTTGTAATTAGTGGAAAAATGAGACTGTCACTTCTCTTTGTATCCTTCTTTCTGCTTTTAGCACCTATGTGCTGTCTGGAGATGAAGCATCATTCACTAGACAATGAGGAGAAAGAAAGGAGGACAAGGCTAAAGATCAGAAACTCTGGCCCTGACATTACTGAGCTACTAAACCAGCTTCAAAAGTCATTGATTTCTAGACTTTCTGGTATACATGGAAAATAAATGCTTTTGCTTAAAACAAAGGGACGTCATGTTAACTTTCAATTACTGGACTAGCTTTCTTGATTCCTTTGAAGAAATTTTGAAAACTGTACTTTGTCATGAAATTTTTAAAAATTCTAAGTCCCTTTGGCCCTACTTTTAAGATGTTAAGAGCATACTAGAACATCAATTTTTTTTATAAAGGATGAGGAGAAAGAGAGAAAAATCCAGTCATTCATGTTCTGGTAGATTATTGGAAATTAAAAGGGAGAGTGAGAAGGAGCAAGGATATCAGAGGCAGAGTTCTTATCCTCCCTCATGCTCCCACCTGGTCCGCAGCTCAGGTTGGGTGCCATAGAGGCTTCCAAATTTAACCAGGGGAGGAAAGTGTCAGAAAGCTGCAGGCCCTTAGGAAATATTCCCCTTTCAGTTCTGCCATATCAAAATGCCCTATTAGTAGGTACATGAACATGGCAGAGAAAAGCAGATAAATAGATGAGCCTAAGACTGTGGTCTTGGTTCTTCAGAACTTGTTCCATTTTGGAAAAGATGGAGTTAAACAACTGTCCTGTAATCCCTGTTAATCCTATAGGAAGGGAGGCCAGGATATTCCTGGGGAAGAAAAAAGCAGGCAATCTGGTCTAATCTTCTGGTAAAAGTACTAATAACAAACCTCCTGGAAAATAAACCAATATTTATCAGGAAGAGAATTTTACCTATGGAATTCTTTTAACAGGATATTCCTGGTTTAGGGTTGCTTATGGTAAACAATTATAGAATCTACAGATTCATGAAGCATGACTGCAGACTCTGTCATATGTGCTATGCAAATATATAAGTATAAATGAGGATATTAAATAACTGAGATGTTCCCTGTTGTGTAAGGCAGCCTTGTGCACTTCATTAAAGATCTCATGTATTTTTCTTGGTCATAGAGCATGACCGATCTGTGAAGGAAGCACCTAGGACCTGGGACCTGGTGTATCCAGACATTTTCCTTCTTCATCTGGATACTTACTTGTATTTTTGACATTGTTTAGGAAAGTTAGACACTGGGTAATATATCTGACTTGTGTGTCACTTGGATTTGACAATATGATCCTTTGTGTTGCCTCACATATAAAGGACTCTAAATTGCTCCTGTGCTCTATGAAGAAGATGCAAAGGTGCTAAAAGGGCCAGGGAACTACCAAAGACTTTACACAAAAAAAACAAAAAAAGTCACAGTGTTCAGAAAATAAATGTTTGGTCCAATGTTGGTGAACTTATTGTGATCCAATAATTTTTGTAGAATAAAAGCTCCATAAGAATGGGGATTCATTATTCTGTTTTGTCACTCTATTTCTAATATATTTACTGAGCGCATAGTAAATTCTCAGTAAATAAAAATAAGACATATAAAATAATATTTATCAATAATAAATATAGATAATTAAATGTATAAATAAGTAATTGCATATATCATAATTTAAATAGTCTTTTCAGGTAATTCATCCTCTGCTTGGATGTCTCAGGGATGTGCTCAAATATGTCCCAGGTACGGCGCTCTCATGCTCCTCTCTAGACGGTATCAATGTACATGGAGTAGGAGTTTATGTAACCATGCAATAAAAGAGAGATTAAGAAGGTCATTGAATTAACATTGGAATTATCTGAATCTCCTGAGATCTCTGCTGTGGTTAGAGTAAGAGAGACCTCAAATATCAATATGCTAGCATCTAAAGTAATTTAGAAACTTATTTCTTTATAAGTGTTTCTAGCATTGATAATCATTGTCATGCTAAAGATGTGAAGAAATTCAGCCTCAGGACTCAATCCTGACAAGTGGCTTCTTTCTTCTAGGATTTACCTTTCTATTTCTTCCTGCGTAATACACTATGGGATTAGGACTTGAATTCAGAAGGCTGCAAAAGAATACGTTTTGAGGGCAAAACGAAATCAAATATTTAATATTTGCAAAATATTTTCTCTCTTATCTAAAGTCACAAAGTCCCTCCTGCTTACCCTGATTTGCTTTCTCCTCTCCTACATATTTCTGCTGCCTCCCTTTATACAGCAGCAGAAAAAGGTAGGCAATTCCCATTTGGAGATCCAAAGATTTCAAAGAGAAGGGGATGGTAATGGACGCAGCCTTGAAAAAGAGAAGTGGTGAATGAAGACATGGAGAAAAGGTTTGAGGAAGAGAAAATCAATGAGAATACATTCTTCTCTAGTCAAAGAAATAGCCCAGCAGGTACACTGTTCAGTGAGTCTCCCATTTCAGGTAAATGGGTTTAGACAAAGGACACCATTTAACTATACCTCCCAGATCTCCTCCCAGATCTTTGACCACTGACAGATATTTGAGTCATCCGCATGGTGAGCAACAGAAAGACAGGAGAGCAAGTTACAAAGATTGTAGAGTGATCAGAATTGACTAGAAGTGCCAGATGAAGTTCAATTCTTCAAAAGGAGAAGAAAATGGGTTACTTAGCTGAAATATAATGTAGAAAGGCAATGAATTCAATGAAATAAGTAAGGTCAGCAAGGCCTTGGAAAGAAAGAGAGAAAATTAGGAAGGGGAAAATTGCGTTTATATTCTTATGAGAACAAAAAGGAAAGAAAAAACACAGTGGGAGTTTAATCAAGTAGTTAAGAGCTTTTTGCATACAGTTTTGAAAAGAGAGAAAATATGTGCACTTAGAGACTGGGTCATATAGGGACTAGTTACACCCATTCTAGAAAGTGCCCAGGAAAAGTTTGACAGGATTTTTGATGCAGAAAGATGAAGCTCTGGAGATAAAAAATAATTCAGCTTTATTAACCCTCCCACTGAGAAGGATGCTTTTGTGAGAGACAGATGACACAACTGCTGAGAAAATCTTTGCTGGCCACCTAAATGTATGTCTAGGAAACCAAAGATCAGCACAATTTAGGAAAATTAACAGCATGAAATAGAAGGCTTAATCAGAACAAATGACAAGGAAGAGAACAGATAATTTAGGGAACAAAAGAAAAAAAAATTCTGATGGATGTCCTCAGAAGGATTATAGAGGATGCTGCATCCGAAAACAAAATCAAGCTTCTATAAAAAGAAGCAATCAGAAAACAACAAAAAGTTTGAGAACTGTTCAAAATAGATCGAAAAGTTTTTTTTAATCAATGAAAGGGCTGGATATTAGATTTAAATAATGATAGGCCAAACGAATAACCCAAAGATGAGTCAAGAAGGTGCTCTAAAAATTTTAGGAAATGAAAGAACTTGCCATATCTTCCTAAAAAGAGATATTGGTGGAAACAGATAAAAAGATAAGAGAGCAGAAAATCAAACAAATAAGAAAAGAAGGTCTCCTTGACTTGAAGAAAAACATCCTTCTTCAGACGGAAAGGAACTCTTTGGATTGAGCAAAATAACTAAGAAAAGACCAGCACTTATACAGACCCTGGAAAAGTATTGCAACCCCTAAAACAAAACCTTCTACAACTTATTTATAAAGAAGTTCAAAAAACAGGTGGACTTCAGACATCTTATCTTTCATAATAGACACAAGAAGAAAATGAAGTATGTTTTCAAAATCTCAAAAGACAGGTAAAAGAAGAACTCAGAGTTCATTATTCAGGCAAATTCTCATTTAAATATGAGGGAACAATAAATACATTTTTAGATGTCTATGGTTGCTGGTACTGTGCTATGTTTGGGCCTTCTCTAAAGATTTGCTCAAGTTGGTACTACCAAATATGAACAAAATAAGTTCAAAAACTGGAAGGACGTGATAGATAAGAAGCAGTCATTAGAAAAGAGATAGTGGTTATTAAAGGAAATTACAGTTATGTCCAAAGAGTTTTAAATTTAGGAGGGCACACATTTCCTGAACCAAAGAGTTAATATTAGCTGTGAAGGGTGATATATTTTATCTGTGTGGATCAGAAGCAGCTTGGGTAGCTCTGGACATGAAAGGTAAGTGGGTGGATTTCAATAGGTGTTACAGGTCTCTCGGTGAAGATGAGCTGTAAACAAAGTATAGAGACAGGAAAGAAAAAAGTGATTTTAGGGAACGGCAAATGGATCAGTCACACTTGAATCACTGTTGGAAAATAGTGAGAGATCAGAATGAAAATATGATAGGAATACAGTGATCTTGATATTAAAATTAAAGTGAACAAAATAAGATGTTGCTTATTAGTATTTAATACCTTTTTGTATTAAAGCAAAACAAGGCAAAATCAAAACTAAAAGCAATCTCAAAATTATACCAACTGTTCTTCTTTTTTATTATTTCTGTACCTTAACTAATGCTTTCCTTCTGTGAGAGTACAACTACAATTACACTAATAAATATTATGCTTTTTATTCCATATATTTGTTCTTACATATAATTTTTTATTTTGTCTTTGTGGTGGTCTGGTTATAGTCCATAAACTAATCATAAGGGTCAGATAGTAGAGAATGAAACTTTCTTTACCTATGTGTCATAATTCAAATATTGTTAAAGTTTATTGTGAGCATTCTAATAATGAATAGTATATGTTGTCTCTAAATATTAATGAAAAGATAAAGGAACAGATGTGAAAGTAAAAGAGAGTTTTAACAAAGCACTTTAGCTGGCATATGCTACCCCAAATTTGATCTTACCTATATGAAGAATATGTGTATAGCATATTCTTAACATATTATCATATTAACATAATAATAACATATTAAATTGAACAGTTTTTTGTTTCTTTATACTATTATCCCAAAAAATTCACCAGTGAAATCTTTCTAAAGGTGTCTTTAGTAATGTATGCAAGCTAGTCATTGTCCAATAATGAGTTTGATTCAATTACATTGGTAATAGCAGTCTTTCTTCTTAAAGCTGTGTGCATCCATGTATGAACACCAAGAATAGCTATCAAAGACTACCACAATTATCACTATGAGTGGCACTACAAAGAACACCACAAAAAATTGTTTACAAGCTTTCAGATCTACAATAGAGAGGACAGAATTTTTAAATAAAATGCCTTGCCAAATTTCAGTTTTCGTATTTAAAAAAAATTTTAAAAGGGAGGGAGGGAGGGAGGAAAACAGACAGGGAAGGAGGGAGGAAAAGAAAGAGGGAGGGAGGAAGGGTAAAAGAAAGGGACACAAAAACTTTTTTTGTTTTTTAATTTATTTTGCCATTGATGTCAAACATTTTTCAAATTATAGATTTTTCTCACCTTTAAGTGACAAAAAGCCAAAATAGGGTGTAAAAATTATATTTCGTAAAGGAAAATATGTTTCTTTGACCTTAGTTTCTGGGTCAGCTTGGGGCCTCTGAGAAGTTGATACTAAGTTGGGACTTGTTATGCAAATCCCATTTATGGAGGGAAAGGCTTGTAAAGGATAAAGAGGAGAGGGAGTAAAGGAAGGTGTAGATAGCCTTCAGATAGATGTGTGCGTAATGCCTGATACTAGACACTAGGAGAAACAAACAAACAAACAAACAAAAAAGAGAAGGCTGTTGAATAGGAAGAACTTCATATTACAATGCAGTTCTGAGAAAGTCTTGGTGAGGTTTTGAGCAAAAGTTGCCCTATAGAGGAGTCCTAGGTACAGGCAGAAATGAGCCAGCTCTGCTATTGCTGCTTTGCACAGCCAATGGCCAGGAGTTACCCAGTGGCAGTGTGGCCTCAGCAGTGTGGACTTGAGTACTCTGCTGAAGGTGGAGAAGTAGCCAATGGAGGCTGTCAGCCAGACAAGCTCCTTACAGCAGGCTCTCTTGAAGGGAGTTCTGAGCAGTGCAACTCCAAAGTCCCACATCTTCTTTTACCAATCCTTCCATTTTCTCTTATTTTTCTTTCTTTTATGTTGCGGCAGCACCAGTGAATAAGAAATATTGTTTTCCTGTTTCTATTTTTCTGAATATTTATAACACTTACCTTCTTTGGTCCAGTGTTGATTTATTTTATAACATAATAGTCCGCCAAATAATAGCCAAAAAGAGGTATTTCACGGAAGTGATACTTTGGGCTTCTTGCTCATTTAACTCCAACAATTTGGTTGCTAGTTTAAGGCTATTAGAGAAATGTGACTGATTAACAGTTTTTAGACCTTTGCTTCCTATGCCTCAGTAGAATCCTAATGTGTATATATTTGTTACCACACACCTGTGGGAAGCAAATGGGGACTAACTATAGTTGAAATTTCCTTAGCTCATATAATTACAGAGAATCTCATCCACAAAGTCGAAATCATTTTACCTTCATTAAGTTAAAATTCTCTAACTTAGTTACCACGTGACGTAGTCTGACCAAGGATTGTAGTGAGCTATATAACT
The DNA here is from genome assembly GCF_000001405.40 of Homo sapiens. NCBI lineage: Eukaryota > Metazoa > Chordata > Mammalia > Primates > Hominidae > Homo > Homo sapiens. The sequence continues at coordinate 83,200,912 of NC_000007.14, read as the reverse complement.
GACGAGGCCGGCTTTATGAAGAACTATAAAAGAATGTTGATTTGGTGAATAGCTGCAGGTTGTTGTAGAGGCTTCAATTTTATGTAAAAGGAAGAATGCATTAAAAAGAATTTATTACATGAAAGTTCTTGGCCAAGGACAATGAAAAATCTTGACAGACCTTAATGGAGAAGTCTGTGAAGGTTAAAATACCCATTTAAATAATTTGGGGTGATTTGATTTTCAACCATGGGAAAAGGATAAAATACAATTTCTTAGCTGTCAAAGAGGTTAGCACTGAGATTTGAGTAAAACTCCACAAAAATGCTGAAACAAAAAAAAATGTGCATGTCTCTGGAGTATTACAATTGTTAGACATAATAGATGATAGTAGAAATATCATCATTGCTGGACAGATGATTCAAAGACTCATGCATATTTGAAAGGACAGAGTCATAGAGGAAATCACTAGCATCCAGTTGGCAAATGGTGTAAATTTTTCAAGAAAAGCATGTTCATACATAAAATATGAATGTCTTCATAAGTACAAATATCCACAGAGGCATAGCCAATAATTCAGAGACCATGTTGCCACACTAATATGGCCTCTGCCATGAAATGGTGGTATATTTTATACTACCACTAGAATCAGTAGTAGGTGCATAAAAAATAAACCACAAGAAATTAATCAAATTAATGTTTGAATTGATTGTTTTGTTGAAAGGTGTATGACATAAATGTGTGCAGTTTCAAATATTTCTATGTAGATTTTTCTGTCTTTTTTTATTTTTTATCATTTAATAGAGTCTAAATGTGTCATTTTGATCATTGCAAGGGCACATAAAGTATGTATTCACTTGGTCTTTTTTACTATAAGTAAACCGGTTTAGGCAGAAAAGAGAAATATACTTCAAGAATCCAAAGGGGATTATATTCAAGTGAACCTGAGGGCAGGGATGTAGTCAGACTTTAGGAGTGAACTGGTACCAGGAATCTGAATGTCAACATAACCCAGTCTTGCCTATGCTCCTTTCTATGATGTGGCTTATTTCTTCTCTTGGTACAATTGCAGCTTTTTTGATTACCTGCCAACATGGCAGAATGAAGCTGTCCAGAGTTCTCAGGTTTTCATTTTCTTCATTCAAGAGACCAGCAACATTAAAAGCAAACATTAAAACTAGATAGTTTTGGTCTCAATTCCAAATTCTTGGCGGAGGAAGTATGTCCAGGACTTAGGTCAGCTATATGGCCCTGGACAATCAACTGTAGCCAGGAGGAGTAGAGTTTTGCTCCATTCACACAGTTGTTCCCACTGTAAAAATGTGAAAGAAGGTGTTAAGGAAAAGCGTAACTTCACAAAAGTTGGGATAGGTAAAACCATAAATGCCTACTATATCGTACTAGAAAATACATTAACCTATTTTATCTGACTAGTTTTGTTTCGGACATTAACTAATTCAGTGATCTTATCTAAACCACCTAGACTCTCTGAGACTCAGTTTTCTCTCAAAAGGGGAAAGAAAAGCCTTCCTATCTTTCCAAAGCCCATAAAAGCCTTAAATTTCATGAATTTGCTTACCCTTTTTCTAGTTCAGCCAAAGGAAGTTATTGGAGTACTCACCAATGGAGATCCAACAAATGAATTCATTGCAATAAAAATGTCAAGACTTGGAAAGGTCTATCATAAGTTCCTATAACCACCCACAGGTGGTCATCACCAAGAAGTATTCCCTATCTCTCAGGCAAATGTTCGGAACTGAGATGACTCAAGCCTTGCCCCTCCTTCTTCCACTGAAATAATAATAAAGTATTTCAGTAGCATTTTTTCTGAACCTTTCAGTATTAATACACAAAGTCCACAACAATCCAAAATTTGGAACTAAGAAATTGACACTCATTCTCACAAATAAAAAAAATTATGCCTTCAAGATTTCAGTATTTTTTAATGGCTCTGATTGGCTTTATTTTTTGCTTCAAAGTTTACTTTTTTTTAACTTTTATTTTAAGTTCTGGGTACATTTGCAGGTTTATGATATAGGTAAACTTGTGTCACACAAGTTTGTTGTACATATTATTTAATCACCCATGTATTGAGTCTAGTATCCATTAGTTATTTTTTCTGATCCTCTCCCTCCTCCCAACTTCCAACCTTTTGTAGGCCTCAGTATCTATTGTATCCCTTTTTGTGTCCATGTGTTCTCATCATTTAACTCCTACTTATAAGTGGGAACATGCAGAATTTTTCTGTTCCCGTGTTAATTTTCTAAGGATAATGGCTTCCAGCTCCATCCATGTTCCTGCAAAGGATATGATTTCACTTTTTTTATGGCTGCCTAGTATTCCATGGTGTATATGTCCCACATTTTCTTTATCCAATCTCCCATTGATGGACATTTGCATTGATCCCATGTCTTTGCTATTGTGAATAGTGCTGCAATAAACAAGAGCGTGCATGTGTCTTTACAATAGAACAATTTATATTCCTTTGGGTATATACCCAGTAATGGGATTGCTGGGTTGAATTGTATTTCCATTTTTAGGTCTTTGAGGAATTGCGACACTGTTTTCTATAACGGTTAAACTCCCATCAACAGTGTATAAGCATTCGGTTTTCTCTGATATATTGCCAGCACCTGTTATTTTTTGGCTTTTTAATAGTAGCCATTCTGACTGGTGTGAGATGGTGTCTCATTGTGTTCTTGATTTGCATTTCTCTAATGATCAGTAATGTTAAGCTTTTTCTCACATGCTTGTTGGTCACACATAAGTCTTCTTTTGAAATGTATCTGTTCATGTCTGTTGCCCACTTTTTAATGGTTTTTTTTTCTTGTAAATTTATTTAAGTTCCTTATAAATGCTGGATATTAGAACTTTGTCAGATACATATTTTGCAAAATTTTTCTCTCATTCTGTAAGTTGTCTGTTTACTCTGTTGATAGTTCCTTTTGCTGTGCAGAGCTGTTTAGTTTAATTAGATCCCACTTGTCAAGTTTGCTTTTGTTGCACTTGCTTTTGGCCTCTTTGTCATGAAATATTTGCCCATTCCTATGTCCCAAATGGTATTGCCTAGTTTGTCTCCCAGGATTTTATAGTTTTGGATTTCACATTTACGTCTTTAATCTGTCTTGTGTTAATTTTTGTATATGGTATAATGAAGGGGTCCATTTTCTATCTTCTGCATATGGCTAGCCAGTTATCCCAGTACCATTTATTGAATAAGGAGTCCTTTTCCCACTGCTTGTTTTTGTTGACTTTGTCAAAGATTAGATAGTTGTAGGTGTGCAGCCTTTTTTCAGATCTCTCTATTCTGTTTCATTGGTCTACGTGTCTGTTTTTGTACCAATACTATGCTGTTTTGGTTACTGTAGTCCTGTAGTATAGTTTTCTAAAAATATATGTATCTAACATTTGTAGTTTTCAAACTCATGGCTCTCCAAGCCTTATATAGGCCAAAAGTCATTTGTGAAAATCACAAGTCAACTACCATCATTCATGTGTACTAATCACTGTTTTCAACATTGTATAATGTATTACCTCATCTTGAAAGCTGAGAATTTCATAGCTTATTATTACATTGTCTAAATTTACAGAATTAACTTTGAGACAAATGATGTTATTTTAATACAAAGGAAGGAAAACATGAGCAATTTTTTTCCATGTAGAAATAGAAAAATGGAATAAAGCTAGCATAACCTTGAGCCCCATCTCCTTTCCTATATAAGATGCAGTCTGGATGCCATCATTGATCTTTAAAAGAACGACTTTACCCTGTCAAGGACTGATACTGAATTCTAGTCTTTCTTTATTTCTCATATGCCACTACTGCACAATGCAGATGAACCCAACTAAATATTATTGATGTGTGAGATCATCTCAGGACACAAATTATATGCTCAGCTGTTAATTCTTCAATACACACTCAGATTGTTCATTTAACTTGGAAGAAATTTGAAGTCTAAAGGAGTCCCTCCTGAGTGGCCTCTATCATTAGGTTTGTTTAAAGTCAAACATTTTCCCTTCAGTTCCAAACCATTTGATTTGTTTTTATTCACTTTCTTTATTCTTTTAATGAGTATCAACTCCACTTCAGGAACTGTGTCATATACTTCTCCATATGTTTTCATTTATTTTTCACAATACCAATTGTGAGACGTATTATTTTACAGAATATCTAACTGACCGATTATGATTATCCTTCATTTCAATTCTACAACAGCATCCATCAGCTCAAAGTTCGGGTCACTGCACATTTGTGCCCTTTTGGTTTCTGGTCAAAGTTTTGAACAATTAATTCATTCATCAGTTTTCCAAAAAGCCAATAAATACGTTTGTGTTAGATTTAATAGCCACTATATCCTGGATATTTGCCACCCTACTTATTTGAAAACTTTAAAATACTTAAGGCTTCACATTCAATTTTTAGTATTGAGAACTTGGTAGCTGGCCTCCAAAATCCCTCTCTGAAGTAATCACTTGAATTAATTAAATTATTTAGCTTGTCTTGAGAATCTACTTATGCTTCTGAATGCAAATGGTATCAAAATATAAGTTCAAAACATTGCATTTTTCAATAGTCCATGGTAAGGCTTATATTCATCTGCTAGGGCCACCATAAAAACATACCAGAGAGTGGGTCTCTTAAACAACAGAAATTTGCTCTGCTTTTCCACAATTCTGGAAGCTCGACTTCTAAGATCAAGGTGTTGGCAGGGTTGATTTCTTCTAAGGGCCTCTCTTCTTGGCTTGTATATGGCTGTCTTCTTGTGTATGTCTGTGTCCTTATCTTTTTTTTTTTTTTATAAGGACACCATTCATATTGGATTAGAGCTCGCCCATATGGCCTCATTTTACCTTAAAATTACCTTTAAAAGCTCTATATCCAAATACAGCCACATTCTGAGGTACTGTAACTTTAATATATGAATTTGGGGGGGAAAGAATTCATCATAACAAGGCTTATCATATTTGAAAAAGTCTTTAGATTTGGAAATAAGAATCAGTTTAATTGCATAAATAAACATTTTTACAATTACATCATTTTATATTTTTCCTGATTTGTAGCGTGTGTGTGTGTGTGTGTGTGTGTGTGTGTGTGTGTGTGTGTGTAAGTAAAATCCTTATAGAATTACCAATTTACTCAAATATATAAGATTTGATATAAGAAGTAAACACTGAAGTTTTTGGAATTCATTTCAATTTTACAAAATTGTTCAAATCTGAAAAACTTTGTCAGGGCTCAGCCTTTATTATTATTAGTTATAATAGCAAAATAATTTTCTTGTCATTTGATATTTCTTATATTTTTGAACATGAGCATCATAATTTTAATGCAATTTTCCATGCAAACTGTTCAGACAAGATTTGGGTGATGTTGACCTTATTAGCAACAGTTTCTGTTAATGATTCTTCAATTTCATGAAGTTATCATAAAGAGAAGTCACTAAACAAAGGAGATTATGGGGGGCATCTGGTAAAATGATATCTCTTTTAGAAACAACTCCATATCAAATTATTTCTGAGTATGTTTAACTGGAGCATGAATCAGAAGCATTTACTCCCCATTAACTTGAGTTTGGAGAATATAGATAAATGATAATTTTCAATTATAATATGGGATTTGGGAGAAGCATATTGCAAAGAGGACCTGAAAACAATAAGAATACTCCAAAACTTTTAGCAGTTGCCTGTTTCATGGACAAACTTATCAAAATATTAATATAATTACAAAAAGGGCATACTGATATGGTCAGTTAAATTTACCACTAGCTTATTTAATTTACCAATACCTTATATTTAATTACAAATACCTTATATTTAAGGTATATATAATTTATTTTACACTATAAGATCATCTAGTATGGCACTATTCATTGATCTTCTTTGTTAGGTCATCATTATATTTGGACCATTTTGAGATTAACAGATTAATTTCTCCAAATATATCCTAACAGAATTCTTTCTTTTTCTTGCTTCACAGTTAGCTAATCACTTTTATGATACTCAGAAGAAATTCTCATTTATGGCCAGGAAGAGAACAAAACAGGGAGTTGGCTCTGACATTTAACATATTATAATATTTCCCAATAGGTTACTCATGTCTTTTAAAATATATGTTGTCCTATCACTATGTCTCTGGTTCACTTAACTGTGATTTTTTGAGGATAAGGGCTGCATTTTTATATCTAATCACCGTACGAGATTCCTTAACTGATTTTTTTTGGCTGTAAGCTATATTTAAAGCTTAAAGAGTCTGTATATGCACAATGTCAAACATGAATTCATTTTCATAAATTTGAAATAGTTGAATAACTAACATGATCTAGGGAGAATATAGATGATTGCAGTAGTTCACGTTTTAACTCTACTAGTTACAGTTTCAAACTCACAATAATTTAAAGTGTTTATTTAGGGAATGACCAAATATTTTTGAAAATGTGGAAGAATATATTCAACAAAGGAAGTCATATCAGACATTTGTTTTGTTAGAAAGACCAATCTTAAGATTCCTCTAGCTACAAAGGAAACATTTTTGGTAAAATTTTTTAAATAAAGCAAAATTTTATATATTATACTGTAGAAATATAAATTATCTTATAGCCAACCCTTATATATAAGGCTATATATATATATATATATATATATGATGTATGTAAAGCTTTACATATCTGAATCTGAATGCAAAGCTTTACATATATCCCATATGGGATATATATCCCATATACTATATGTAAAAGCTACCTCCTATAACCATCTCTGTTAACACTTTGATCTCTTCAAAATCTGTTTATATTTGAATGTATTTCTAAAACAAAATAACATAAAGGAGACACTGCCCCCTATATTGTCATGCATCTTTCTCATACTTTGTATAATTTTCTGGACATATTTATAGTTCCATCTCATTATTCTTAATATTGTATTATATTTGGTTGTTTCTATTACTTATTTTAATGAAATTTCTATTTATGATGTGTGTATAACTTAATTCTTATTTGTTTCAATTCAACTGAAATTTGTACAGGCTCCGCTAAGCTAAAAAATAATTAATTAAATGGTTCTGGGGATATCCCATGAAGAGCTGAAATGGTCAGTTCTGGGAAAGATGATACCAATTAGCTTTGGTGAGAGTCTCAAAGCAGCAATGTAATTTTTAGAGCCCAGTCTTCAGTGAGCAGTTGTCCCAGTGAAAGGGCTGCCAAGCTACCTAATAGACGGTTTATTTACATGTCTAAATTGATTATATTTCTTTTACCAGTACAAGCAATATTGTAATCACAGATGTAGTGAGCATCTGAGAAGGACAGGCTACATAATTTTCAAGGTCCTGTGCAAAATAAGAATGGGGGGCCCTTATTCAAATATTAAGAATTTCAATATGGTGACAATGGAGGATTAAACCGAGAGCAGGGTCCTTCTAAGTCCAGACCCCTCTCTGACTGTGCATGCTGCATGCTCATGAAATCAGCCTTGCATCTGAGCAATCTGCCAACATTGCATACGGTATTTTTTATAAATTTTACCAAAAATGGAAAGGTAAGAATAAGTCTGAAATTTATATAAGTAGGTATGTATTCTCATCTGTCCTTTTTCAACAGAATTATTTTTCAACAAAACTTTGAAATAGTTATATGTGAAACATTTTTACTAGCTAAATAAGAGTACACAGTGAAAAGTATATATTGCAAAAATAAAATATTTTTCGTAGTATTTTTAATTCAAAGTTTTATTTTGCTCATGTAGGCCAAAGTATATTTCTAGGAGTATTTACCTCCTCAGTTGAACTCATATGTCACTATAAATCAATGTTGTCATCTGATAGTAAGTAAAGGAGCAATTTTATGGTTGGTTTAACAGATGAAAGTTTTAATAGTAAATTATTCAAGGCATGTGAATGTTTTATTATTAGTAGACAAACACACCTGAGACACTAGTTCAGTAATCTAGTTATGTTAAATATTATATCTTTAAAATTTAGCCGATTTGTATTTGTTTGTTGACAACCAAAGCTGCTCATTTTACTTGAAACTGATATTTCCATAAATTACAACAATGTTTATGTTCACCTAGGATATGCTTCTGTTTATTAAAGACTGTTATGGTGCCACAACTCAAGTAACAACTTGATCCCCCTATTCAACAGGACCGTAACACAAGTGTGGTGGTAGCCGGGGGGAAAAACTGTTAAGTGATAGGGCAATAATTAAGAAAATGTCTAAAAGAAAATTATTTATAACAGACAATTTTCTAATTACCCAAACTTGGAGGTATATACGTATTTTTTTAAAGCATGAAAATCTTTTTTAAGCACACAGTTTTCTGTTTACTTGCAATTTTATTCTATTTGGATTTTCCTTACAAGGTCTTTGCTTCTTTGTTTTCCTCCCTATGAATTATCTCCAAAATTCTTGCTAAAAAGTGACAAAGAGTAGAAAGCAGTGGATGAAATACAGTTTGCTTAACTAGTAATAATTTTAATCAAGTTCAAGAAAATTATATTTAGTATATCTGAATCTTATAAGCATTTTACTTTATGATATTCTCATGTCATTTTTCAAAGCAGCTCCTGAAAGGCAGACATTAATAAAACTTCTGAAAGCTATATTGTCTCTGTGACTAATACAATGTTTTATTTTGTTTTAAAATCACTGTCTAGATTTAGTTGCCCTCTATGGATATTATGCAAAGAAAGCTAAAAATGAATAGCAGCAGTATTACATACAGAGAAAGAGTTACATATGAAAGTGTTGAGGAAACACAAGAGTTCTCTGAGCTGATAACACTGAAACACTGATGCAAATATTTTAATTTAAGGTCATCCAGTTCGGCTTTCTAGCTGAAGATCATTCAGTACTAGCTCCTGGCTCTTAGATGACCAAACATCTTCTATAGACTTAAAAATAAAACATGTCACATATAATCACTCTTTTTAGACATATAGCCAGTTCATTTGCGTCTGATTCATTATTGCTCCTTCCTTCCTCGACCTCCAACCACTACACACTCACCAAAATAAAGTGTCAGCTCCTCAGTTCATTATATTATAAATTTATCTACACACATTCAGGTCATGAATCGAGGCTATCTTGAATAGTTCCTGGCATATCAAAGTGTTCATGACTTATTTCTTTAAATAAAATACCTTATGCTCCTAATACAGAGGTTCAACAAAGATTAGTGATCTGCTCAGATTTATGCAAACTGTGTCGAGAGGATATGCCTATGGTTTCCCAGGCCACTGCCCTGTTCAATTCACCAAGCTGGCCCCTAGTATCAAAGCCTGTGGTATCTGACATTTATATAACAACCAATATTGTATATGAGTGGAAAAGCTATGGGTTTAACATTACTGGGACACTACCAGGCCATCAATCAAATAAATTGTGTGCTGGAATTTATTATTCTATCATGCCAATGTCAATAAAAACTTTTAGATTCCTGAATTTGCCAATTTGAGTAATTATTTTTTAAATCCTTTGTTGCATGTGAAATATTCGTTAAGCCTTTCTCAAAAGTCAACATTTTAGGCAATATCAAACAAAGTTGATATTTCAAAATTAGTTTATGTGATTAGCAGTCAGTGGCTTTGAGAAGTCCATTCCCTTTCAAGATTAGATTTGATTTATCTGATTTGCAAATCTAAATTTAATGGAACAAGACATTCTCTAAAACTCCATTTTATGATTCCAGGCATTGTATCTACTCTGCTTCCAGCTTTGCAATTGTCTATACTTACCTAAAACTTATTATATGAGAGGTTTTCAACATCCATTTAGCCATAATTAAATTTATTATGACAGTAAGCAGAGCATACAGTTATACTCATTCATGCCCTCATTTTGTATGGTTGTAAACTCTAACTTAAAGGGATGTAGATTTGTGGTTTAGGGTATGGGCACTGGAGATGATGACTTGAAATAAGATCTTAAGTATTAAAGTGAACAGAGAGAAGCAAAGTAACTTTGATTTATTAATCTGTAAAATAATATTTTGAGAAGCTTAAGTGAAAATAACATAATGCATGGAACAACACCTGGCCCACTGTAAGTGCTCTAGGTGGGTTGGTTATTATGCCTATTCAGCAAATTGCATAGGTCATGGAGTAGAACTGGGTTTTGAACCCTTACACTGAAGCTCTGGATAATAATACTGTCTCTCTGTAGCTGCCTTTTCCCTCCTTTATCCCATTCTGTGCCTTGATTTCTTGTGACAACAGGAAAATGTATCCTCAAACATTTGAGAAGTGATATCTGAGTGCAGAATGGATCTCAGTTTCTTCATTAGAAGGAGACAGGATATTATGGCCACATAATACTATTTTCTCTTCTCTGAGGGTCCGCTTTGTGCCCACTGAGTAGAAAATTCTGTTTAATGTTTCTGCTTTTTAAATTTCGTCTTTTAATTATTGATTTTTCTACTATAAATAAATATTTAAAAATATGAAAAATGTTTTTGAACTCTGGGCAAGGGAAACTAGACAAAAATTTCACAGTGTTTACCAAAATACACAATGTAGAATATGCTCACTGAATCTAAAATGGGATTGTGAAGAACCTGGAATCGGACTTCTAAAACTAGTATCACTTGCAAAATGTAGTTTTAAAATGTAAGCCTCATTTCTACTTATGACCTACAAATAAACATTATTATTATTTGATAGCATCTTTATTCACTTTTCTGTTTAACTTAACTACATTCCCATTATTTACTAAAAGAATATGTGACATTTCTGACATAGCCATGTAAGAAGCAACCATATGCTTTAAAAAAATTGCATTTAATAGTTTAATTATGCTATATTTGGTATTCATTGAGTATGATATGTGTGAACTTTATAATCAATTATATATACTTATCTATTTATTGAGCAGGTTTTCTTAATAGTGGGAAGTATAATGTTTTATAATTACAAAAATCAATATAAAGTAAATATAAAAATAAATACTGTAGTCTAAGTAAATTTTATTTATAAAAAACATTTATTTTAAATTAAAGGATTGCATATTTTACAATCTATATGTAGTATTAAGAGTGAGAAAATGCATTCATTTTTTTCCAAGGAGACTGTAAAGAGAGTAGTGAGACGAATGTATCACAGTCTGACATGCTTGTATTGAATGTATACCATGAGAAGAATTATTATTGTTCCAACTGTTTTTAAAAAAACAGTTTCACCAAGTAAAGTAAAAGAGTTTTGAATGTGTGGAACCATAAAAATTAAAAGTATGACATCCTTTGTTTATTAAAATATGCAGCCTAAATAGAAAGCCTTAGAAAAAGCAAAATCAGTAATCTCACACATCTAATATTAAAAGACTTAGGAACTAAACATTTTAGGTCTAGAAAAATACCATTGATATCACAAAAGACTTTTTTGGTTGTATTAATAATTTTTCATGCTTTATATGCAGGAAGAATCAGTAGGGAGTACTGTTACTCATATAGAATCCCTTAAAAATTCTAGTAAAGCCTCCTGTATATTGTCACATGTTTTTATAAGTCAAGAACAATGTATTCCTAATGTAAAATTTCCACTAATATATGTTAAAATAATAGAAGGCTTTCTTAATTGTTTGTTTAGTCAGTAACAAAAAAGTTAAATTGAAAATCTCTAAAACTAAAGAATTTTAGTTGCAACACTAATTTAATTAACCAGTCTCTCAGAAAAGTTTTCAGCATAGAAGCTAAAAGTTGTGTAACTTGATTTTGAAAAATATTAAATTTATTAATATTTGACTTCAGAAAAAAGTGAAATTATATTTTAGTCTTCATTTTTACCATAACTCTTGATGTGTCTCTTATTTTAATAATACATTCTAACATATGAACTGCTGAGCCATTGGCATATTACTTTTAACATAGAGAATGAATTAAACCTCTGAAATCCTGTGCCACCTTCTTTACTAACGGTCTTTTCTAGGCTGCTTTATAAATGTTGCATAGTAGCTGGACAAAGGGAAAGTAAAACATACTTTCAGGGACTACATAAATGAATGAATATATCAACTTAGCTCCAACTTCATAAATCTTTATTCCTTAGACCATAACAATTCACGTGCATTAAAGAAGTAGTGATGGAATAGAGGATGAAGTATCATGGGAATCACCATAGTCATTTCACTGACTTCCTCTTTACGGCCCCAGCTTGTTTCTGCTACTCCCTGGTTCCCCCATGGTCTTCATAAATCCTGGGCATTCACTTTTCATTCCCTAGGTTTCTCTCACATTCTTTTCCTTCTGCTCCTAGCATTTTGCCGCCTTTTTTATCTGGACCTCAGTTTTATTCTTTTTTTTTTTTAAATCAAAATGTTTATTGGAATGTTGTACAAAAAAGTTTCCAGTCATAAAATGTATATTACAAATCATTGGGAAAAAAAAAAAAAGAACAACACATTTGGCACGCATCTTCTTAAAAACCGAATCTCTGAAATGAAAGTCCACGCCAGCCCCGGATGCAGCCCAGCTTTGTTTGCAGGCTCTTTTAAGTGGATTAATAAGCAGGTATATTAGAACTGCTAAGGTGTAAACATACTTCTCCATCTCAGTTAAGATTTAGCCATTTTTCAATCAGCAGCAATTCACACAAAAAAAGACAGTTTCATTAAAGTGATACCAAAAAGGTGAACTGTGAGACATTAAGCTCAGCAAAAAGAAGACATGATTTGGATAATGTCCTTGAAACTGTACCTGTATAAGCCACCCCCTTTTCTTCTGTTAACTTGTAGAACTAGTTGTGAGTTTACATTAAAAATAAAATAAAATGCCTTCCTATGATATAAGAACAAAACAAAACAGAATATATGGGAGCAGGGTTGGTTGTAACATTTCATTAGCTTTTCTTTAATGTTTAAATTCTAAAGGAATTCTCAGGTCAAGAAATAGAAATTCTAAATCTCTCAAAAGGTTATTTTCTCTGGATAGCACAGCTTCCAGACTTTCCTAGACAATTATTATTTGGTGTCTTAACTATGTTTTTGAAAAGAAGGTGACTCTAAATTCTCAGGGTAAAGTGTAAAAGTCTTCAAATCATTAGTTTAAAGCTATGCTTTATCAACTGAGTTGAAAATTAAGCAATTTTCCAAACAAATAACTCAAGGCAAGAACTTTGCACAACTAAAGCTCAGTGAAGCAGAATATATTGATGCATTCACTCACACATATCTTTATAAAAGGAAGCATACATTTTCCTGTTAAAATTAAAGTCACTGAATTATTGATTGATTTATATTAAGTAACAAGACCACTCAGTGACTTCTTGCATCCTTATTCCTTCTCCAGCTTCATTCTCATGCAATGAATTGACTTTCTAATGTGTTCCATAATCTGAGTCTTGTAGCTTCTTTAGAGAAGGCAGAAGGAAGGAAGGGTGAGGGTGATGCCAGCCTATAACCTGTGCTTTAACCAGTCTTTTAACAAACCCATTAGATACACACAGAACACAGAAAACAATTCTTTATTTCTGATTCCAATTTCACAGCTCCAATTCTTGTTGCAGAATCTACTGGGATAGGTGGGAATTCCCAAGCAGTGTCTCGGATCTACCATACCATCTTCCTTTCCTCAGAAACCTATTGCTTTGTGGTCTCAAAATGATGAACCCCAGGGTCTAATGGTAGTGAGAAGCTTTCCTTTGCCATACTTTGCAGTCCTTTTATTCTCTTTTGCTTTCTACTGAAGAGCCTCACAATCTAGAGGGTTGGCCATGTTTCTGCTCAGTGGGCTCCTATTTCGGAATCCCATGGTATTGGAGCAGCAAGGCTTCATACTGGCTGTCTTATCAGGTAGTCTGGAAAATAATCAGAAATTTTCCATCTGTTTTCATAGATAGCATTTCTCTGTCTTAATACTAGGAGACAGAAATGGGAGAGAGGATACAAATAATAAGCAAATTTATTTTTTATTGGTTAAAATTTTAAGGTAATAAAATTTTCCATTTTTTGCTCCAGATACAGGATTAATTACTTTTCAAATACTATCTTGCTTAATTTTACAGTAATTAGATGAATCACTAAAATTTTGTCAAACAGAAAAGAAAACTGAGTCAAAACAGAGGCATTATATTGCTTGAGCCAGAGGAGAAAACTTGCCAAATAATGATACAATTATTAAGTGGAAGATATAGAACAAATCCAGCTATGTGACTCCAAAGTATACATACATAACCATTATGCTATTCTGCTTCTCATACTCAAGGATTTGCCACGGATTTACTGAGGGTTTACTACGTGCCAGTCACTGCTTTAGGTGCTGGAGACACACTGAACATGATCACACAAAAGTGTGCTACGCCCAGAACTGCTCCTATTTCCTTTCTGATCTGAAGCTATAGATTATACAGCAGATTTTCAAGGTCAAGATTATAGGTCAGCTACTCCAACCAAGCCTCTCAGCTGGTGACTTTGTTTAACTCCAGGCTTTCCTCTCTGCAAAGCTAGCCCAATCTTACTGGAATCCCTTTAAGAAAAGTTGTGTCTATTTGGCAAAACCCAGTCCACCTAGTAGATAGTACATTTTGTTAATAATGTTTTCTTAATAAATCTTTTGTTTTAGAATAGTTTTAGATTTACCAAAAATTTGCCAAGACAGTACAAAGAGCTTGTATATACACATTCAATTTCCCCTAATATTAATATCTTACATTACTGCTACATTGTGACAAAGAATAGATGTTTATATCTTTTTATTAACTAAACTCCATACTTTATTCAGGTTTTTTTTTTTTGCTTTTATTTAATGCCCTTTTCCTATTTCAGGATTCCATGCAGGACACCAATTAACATTTATTTACTATGTCTTCTCAAGGCTCTTGGCTGTGCCAGTTTCTCACATTTTCATTTTTTTTTTCTTTATGACCTTGGCAACTTAGAGCCAGGTATTTTGTCAACAATGTCACTCAATTAGGATTTGTCTGATATTTCCCTTTTTATTAGACAGAGGTTATAGGCTTTTGGGAAAAAGACAACAGACATAAAGTGTCTTTTTCATCACATCATATCAGGTCTACACACTATAAACATGACTTATTATTATTAATGTTGACTATGAACACCTGACCAAGGTATTGTTTGTTGGGTTTCTCCACTGACGAATCTCTCACCCAGTTTTCATACTGTACTCTTTGGAATAAAGTTACTTTTTGCAGTCCATGTTTAAGAAGTGGAGAGTTATGCTCCATCTCCTTGAGGTAGAATGACAACATAAATTGTTTGGAATCACTCGGCATGACAGAGTTGCCTCATTCCCCATTCCCCAATTTATTTATTCATTCTTTCATTCAATTATATTAGTATGAATTCATGGATATTGATTTTATACTTTGGATCATAATCAAATATTACTTTGTTCATTTTGTTTTTCATATTGTTCCATCTATGGCCATTGAGAGCTCTTTCAGTTGGCTCCTGTGACATTTTAACATACTCTATCATTGTGGACTTTCTTAGGACTTTCTTACTTTTAGTCCTTTTTTAGGACTTTCCTACTTTTAGACACTACAAGATGCCCAAGACTTTTCTTCCATATTCCATGCCTCAGCCTTGGAATTAGTCAATTTTCCAAGGAGTCCTGGTTCTTTTTATTAAAGAATGATGCGAGGAACCAACAACTGGGTACTAGATGTTCTTGTCGGTTCTTGTTGTTACTGAGATATTGCTTCTTTCCCCACCTCCCCCAAGACAGAATTTCATTCTTGTTGCCCAGGCTGGAGTGCAGTGCCACGATCTCAGCTCACTGCAACCTCCACCTCCCAGGTTCAAGTGATTCTCCTGCCTCAGCCTCCTGAGTAGCTGGGATTACAGGCGATTGCCATCATGCCTGGCTAATTTTTTGTATTTTTAGTAGAGACGGGGTTTCACCATGTTGGCCAGGCTGGTCTCAAACTCCTGACCTCAGGTGATCCACCCACCTTGGCCTCCCAAGATGCTGGGATTACAGGCGTGAGCCAGATATTGCTTCTAAGTCCTCTCTTCAGACAGAGCAAGAAAATATATGTGTGTAAGCTAACTCATGTATGTAAATACCTATAAATAATTGTGTATGTAAATATTTGTGTTTATACTAAGGTAAACAAGAGTTTATACTGATATCTTCAACTCTGATATATTACTACATGGATCTTTACAGCCATCTCCCCTTGCTTGCCTGTAAACTCCCAAAAGTAATAGCTCCTGCAACCTGAAGTCATTGTAACTAATTCTCCAGTCAATATACTACAAGGAACTGGCAATGAAAAGATGAATAAAACACTTCTATTATTGATACTTTAAAAATTGTCCTCCACATAATTTCAGAATAAATTTTGAAAAATGTAAGTCAGAACAGGTATGGAAATTGAATCACTAATAAAAACTTGAAAAAAAAAAGAAAACCTCAATATCTGATGGCTTCGCTGCTGAATTCTACCAAACATCTAAAGGAGAGCTAATACCAATTCTTCTCAAACTATTCCAGAAAACTGAAGAGGAGAAAATACTTCCAAACTTATTTTATGAAGCCAGTGTTACTTTGAGTCCATAACCAGACAAAGATATAACGAAAAAACTATAGGCAATATCCCTGATGAACGTAGATGAAAAAAAATCCAAAATAACTTACCAGCAAACTGAATTCAACAGACCATGAAAAAGATCATACATTATGATCAAGTGGAATTAATCTTAGGAATGCAAAGATGGTTCAACATATGCATCAATAAATGTGATACATTACAATAAAAAAGGAAGACAAAACTACATGAGCATCTCAATAGACATAGAAAATGCATTTGGCAAAATTCAGCATCCCTTCATGATAAAAAATGCTCAACAAATTAGGTATAGAAGTATTAGGTATAATATGGATTAGTGTCCCCACCCAAATCTCACATCCAATGGTAATCTTCAATAAGGGCCTTATAGGAGGTGACTGGATCATGGGGGTGGATTTCCTCCTTGCAGTTTTCATAATAGTGAATGAGTTCTCATGAGATCTGGTGTTTAAAAGGGTGTAGCACCTCCCCTTTCACTCTCTTCCTCCTTCTGCAGCCATGTAAGACATGCCTTCTTCTCCTTCACCTTCTTCCATGATTGTAAGTTTCTAGAGGGCTCCCTAGCCATGCTTCCTGTACAGCTCACAGAACTGTGAGTCAATTGAACCTCTTTTTTTTTTTTTATAAATTACTTAGTCTCAGGTAGTACTTTATAGCAATGTAAGAATAAACTAATACAGAAAATTGGTACCAGGAGTGGGGCATTGCTATAAAGATATCTGAAAACATGGTGGCAGTTTTGGAACTGGGTAACAGGCAGAGGTTGCAACAGTTTGGAGGGATCAGAAGAAGACAGGAAGATATGGGAAGGTTTGGAACTTCCTAGAGACTTTTTGAATGGTTCTGAGCAAAATGCTCACAGTGATCTGGACAGAGATGGCCAGACTGGTGAAGTCTCAGTTGGAGACGAGGAACTTATTAAGAACTTTGAACTTGAGAGTGATGATTTAGGGTACCTGGTGGAAGAAATTTCTAAGCAGCAAAGCACTCAAGACATGACCTGGCTGCTTCTAACAGTGTATGCTCATATGCATGAGCAAAGAGATTATCTGAAACTGAAACTTCCGTTTAAAAGGGAAGCAGAGCATACAAGTTTGGAAAATTTGCAGCCTGACCATGTGGTAGAAAAGACAAACCCATTTTCTGGGGTAGAATTCAAGCCAGGGGCAGAAATTTGCATAAGTAGAGAGGAGCTGAATGTTAAAAGCTAAGATAATGGGGAAAATATTTCTGAAGCATTTCGGAGACCTTCATGGCAGCCCCTCCCATCACAGGCCTGGAGGCCCAGGAGAGAAGACTGGTTTTGTGGCCCAGACCCAGGACCCCACTGTCCTGTGCAACCTTGATATTCTGCTCCCTGAATCCCAGCTGCTCCAGCTCCAGCCATGGCTAAAAGGGACCCAGATATATCTCAGGCCACTGCTCCAGAGGGTTCAAGCTGTAGGCCTTGGCAGCTTCCATGTAGTGTTAACCCTGCAGGTGCACAGAGGGCAAGAGTTGACGGTTGGCAGCCTTTGCCTAGATTTCAGAGCATGTATGAAAATGCCTGGCTGTCCAGGCAGATGTTGGCTGCAGGGAATAGCCCTCAAGGAGATCCTCTACTAGGCAAGTGCAGAAAGGAAATATGGAGTTGGAGTCCTCATACAGAGTCCCCACTGGGGCACTGCCTACTAGAGTTGTAAGAAGAGGGCCACCATCCTTCAGACCCCAGAATGCTAGATCCACTGACAGCTTGCACCACACACCTGGAAAAGCTGTAGGCACTCAACACCAGCCCATAAAAGCAGCCAAGGGGCCTGTGCCCTTCAGAGCCATAGCAGGGGAGATACCCAAGACCTTGGGAGCAGACCCCTTGCATTATTGTGGCCTGGATGTGTGACATGGAGTCAAAGGAGATTATTTTGGAGGTTTAAGATATAATGACTGCCCTGCTGGGTTCTGGACCTGCATGGGGCCTGTAGCCCCTTTGTTTTGGCTGATTTCTCCCTTTTGGAACAGGTGTATTCACCCAATGCCTGTACCCCCACTGCATCTTGGAAGTAACTAACTTGTTTTTGAGTTTACATGCTCATAGGCAGAAAGAACTTGCCTTGTCTCAGATAAGATTTTAGACTTGGACTGTTGAGTTAATGTTGAAATGAGTTAAGACTTGAGGGACTGTTAAGAAGTGATCATTGTATTTTGCAACGTGAGGAGGACATGAGATTTGGGAGGGGCCAGGGGTGAAATGATATGGTTTTTATTTGTGTCCCTGCCCAATCACATGTGGAATTGTAATCCATAATGTTGGGAGAGAGGCCTGGTGTGCAGTGATTGGATCATGGGGGTGGATTTTCCCTTTGCTCTTCTCATGATAGCGAGTGAGTTCTTATGAGACCAGGTTGTTAAAATGTGTACAGCCCCTCCACTTTTGCTCTCTTCCTCCTTCTTCAGCCATGTTGGATGTGCCTACTTCCACTTTGCCTTCTGCCATGATTGTAAGTTTCCAGAGGCCTACCCAGTCATTCTTTCTGTACATCCTGAAGAACTGTGCATCAGTTAAACCTCTTTTCTTATTCAGTCTCAGGTATTTCCTTATAGCAATGTGACAATGGATTAGTATGGAAGTTTATGTATCTCATCACAGTAAAGGCCATATATGACAACCCACAGCTAACATCATACCGAACAGGGAAAAGCTGAAAGTTTTTCCACTATGATCTGGAACAAAACAAGTATGTTCACTTTCACCACTCCTATTCCAAATAGTATTGTAAAGCCCTGGTCAGAGCAAATAGGCAAGAGGAAATATAAATTACATCCAAATTTAAAAGGAGGAAGTCAAATTGTCCCTGTTTGCAGATAACATTATTTGAAAAGAAATCTAGAAAGCAATTCTGTTTTTAATAGCTACCAAAAATATAAGACAGGAATAAACTTACTGAAGGAGGTGAAATATCTCTACACTGAAAACTATAAAACATTGATAAAGGAAATTGAAGAAGATAAACATAAATGGAAAGATATCCTGTGTTCATGGACTGTAAAAATTAATAATGTACTCTCTGTCAAAATACCAATGACATTCTTCACAGAAATAGGAAAAACAATTATAAAATTCATATGGAACTACAAAAGATCCCAAATAGCCAAAGTACTCCTGATCAAAAAGAACAAAGCTAGAGGCCTCACAATACCTGCCTTCAAAATATACTACAAAGTTATACTAACCAAAGCAGCATGGTACTGCCATAAAAAAATAGACCAGTGGAACAGAATACAGAGCTCAGAAATAAATTAACACAACTACAGCATACTAAATTTCAAAAAAAAAGGTGTCAAGAACACACAATTAAGGAAAGACAGTCTCATCAATAAATGGTGCTGGGAAAATTGAATATCCCCATGCAGAAGAATGAGACTGGATTTCTACCTCTTACTATATAGATAGATAAACTCAAAATATATTAGAGACTTAAATTTAAAATCTGAAAATATAAAACTACTAGAAAAAGAAAAACAAGATAAATGGTTTACCACACTGGGGTGGGCAAGAATTTTAAAAATAAGACCTCAAAAGCAAAAACAATACAAGCAAAAGACAGACAAATGGGATTACACCAAACTAAAAAGCTTCTTCGCAACAAAGGAAACAACTAAAAATGTTTACATGACAACCTACAGGATGCAAACCAATATTTGCAAATGATCCATCTAAGAATGGGTTAATATTTTGAATATATGAGGAACTTAATTCAACAGCCAAAAAACCAAATAACCCAATTTTTAAAATAGACAAAAGACCTTCATACATATTTCTCAAAAGGAGACATACAAATGACCAATAGGTACATTATAAAGTTCTCAACATCACTATTTATTAGGGAAATGCAAATCGAATTTATGGGATACCACCTTATTTTAGCTAGAATGGCTATTTTCAAAAAAACAAAAGAAAACTAGCATGGGAAATGATGTGGAGAAAAAGGGACACTAACATACTGTTGGTTAGATTATAAATTAGTAAGATCACTATAAAAACAGTATGAAGGTCTTTCAAAAAAAACTAAAAACAGAACTAACATATGATCCAGGAATACTGGGTATATACCCAAAGGAAATAAAATCAGTATATCAAAGAGCTATCTGCACTCTGATGTCTATTACAGCACTATTTACAATAAGCAAATGTGGAATCAACTCAAGCATCCAACAGTGGATAAATGGATAAAGAAAATGTGCTAATTATACACAATGGAACACTATTCATCCCTATGAAAGAATGAAATCCTCTCATTTGCAACAAAATGGATGGACCTAGAGGACATCATCTTAAATGAAATAAGCCAGACACAAAAAGACAAATATGACATAATCTCACTCATATATAAAAACTAAATAATAATAATCATAAAGAGAGTTGATATCATCAAAGTAGACAGTAGAACAATGATTACTAGAGATTGGGAAAGAGAAGGAAGGGGAGGATAGAGAGAGATTGGTCAAAGGGTACAAGGTTACAATTAGATAGAAGGAATAATTCTGGTGTTGTTGCAAAATAGGGCGATGATGGTTCATGGTAAGGTACTGTATATTACAAAATAGCTAGAAAAGAGGCTTTTCAATGTTCTCACCACAGAAAGAAATGATAAATGCATGATGTGATGGATGTGCTAAATACCCTGACTTGATTATTATACAACATACATATGTATTGGAACATCAGCATGTACCCCATATAAATGTATATCTAAATGTATAATTACAATGTGTCAATTAAAAAAATCCTTAACTTAAAAATTGTGAGTCAGACTATGTTACTCTTGTCATCATTAGCTTCCAATGGCTTCCCATTGCTCTTGGAATAAAATCCAAATCCTTTGTCCTGGCCTAAATGCCTGACATGATCTGGTTTCCACCTACTTCTCTCTACTTCATCTCAGATACTTTCCCTCATGGCTTCCTTTCCAACTATAGAAATTTGCCTTTTTTTTCTATTCCTTAAACTAACTAAGTTCTTTGCTATTTAATGATTTTTAGACTTAGATACTTTTTTTCCATTGAATACTTTTTCCCCAGGTCTTCACATATTCAACTTTTGGGTCTCAGCTTAAATGTCACCTCTTTGAAGACACCTTGCCATGCTATTCCATCAGATGTTGTTTCCTCTTGTCACTCCATCTCATTTTCCCATTTGTTTACTTCCTGGCATTTGACAAGGTCTATAAGTTTCCTGTTAGTTGTGTATTTACATGTGGTTAACAATTCTTATTCTAAACAATGTAAGCTCCACTAGGGAAGAACTTTCACCAAATACTTTATGCTACTTCCACCCCTGAGAGGCCCATTTCTATGAAAAACTTGGAAGAAACTGTTGAACATTCTTTTATAAATTCTGGCTCTGTGTCCGAACCCCTTATCCTCAATGGGACTGCATACTCCTGTTTACACATCTGTAAAGAATGTGTGAATCCAAATGTCATTGTTTGTGGGATATGGGTTATCATAATAGGGCCACATCCAAGGATAATAAAAGTAGAACACTCTTATGGGTATAGGGAGGGGGAGTGGATAGAGGATTTTGTTGAAAAAGTTATTTCATACTAAAAAAAAATATTAACCCCTTCAATTGTAATCATTTTATACTGTTCACAGTGCAGCTACCACAATGGTAGACACACAAGGCCTATTAGAGAGTTGTAATTGCTGAACAGGATAACATAAGATGTTTCTTTGGGAAAAGTTTCTGGAGATGAGACTATAACTGCTTTGAAGATAGGGAAAGTAATGTTATCCTGTGAATAGCACGGTTAGAATTCAGCCACTACCAGACTTGTCCATGCCAGTACAGTATTTCGCCTAAGTTTCTGGAGTAGATTCTAACTGGTCTTCCTACCTCCCTTTTTGCTCACTAGAATCTATGCACAATAGCCAGAGTGATCTTGTACACATTTAAGTCAAACCATAACACTTACTTGCTTAAAACTCTCCAGTAGATTTCCATCTCACCTAGGGGAAAGTCTTTACAATTTACTAGCTTCTGTGTGTCTGCAGCTCCTCGTTGTCTTTCTCACGTCATCTCTCATGGCTTCCACCACTTGCTTTGTCTCTCCTAACCACACTGGCCTCCATGTTCCTCTGTATCAATAAGGCAGCCTGCCAACTCAGGCCTTTCGAGTTTGCTTTCTTTGGCCTGAATTATCTGTCTCCAATTATATGCATGGCTTGCCCACACACGTCCTTCAAATCTTTGCCTAAATGCCCTCTTAGTGCAGCCTTCCCTTCCATTTAAAATTGGAACACTTGCATTTCCATGAGGGTAGAGACTCTTCATTAATTCATTTATTAATTCAGGAAATTGATCACTTACTATCTCTAGGAACTTGGGATAAAACAGATAAAAATACCTGCCTTCATGGAACTCACATTCTAAGGCATAGAGATGAAGAGATTTTTTTTTTAAGTGTGTGTGTGAGGAGGCGGTTGTGGGGAGAGAGAGAGAAAATTGGGGAGAGGAAAAAAAGGAGGGAAAAAGAGTGGAGGTGCTAAAAGTGAATGTGGAGGTTGTAATTTGATACAGGAAGGAGTCTTTTAGCCAAGACTTCTTATATTAGTATTCATTACCAATATAATGAGAAAAAAATGAATTATAAAAATAAACATTTTTTTACAATTGAGTTAACACCTAGGTGGGTTTTACCACCTCCTAAATTATCATTGTGTAATAATGTATACTTATTTTAATGAGAAGTTCTATGAAGTTTTAAACGTGCAGGCTCTGTATCCCAACTGACTGGTTTAGAATTTCATCTCCTACTCTTACTAGCTGTGACCTTAACACATTCTACTTCATTTCCTCATCTGAAAATAGTGGTATCTACTGGATTTTTTTTAAACTTCTCAAATTTTGAAATAATTTTAGACCTACAGATAAAATTGCAGTAGTAGTAGAGAAAGACCTTGTATACTCTTTACTGAGCATCCTCTATTGTTAAAATATTACATAACCATTGTGTTTATTGAAATTAAGAAGTGAACATTGGTATATTACTATTTACTAAACTACAGATCTTATTCAAATTTCACGATTTTTTCCACTAATATCCATTTACTGGTCCAACATCCACCCAGGATCCCACATTGGATATAGTTTCCATGTTTCCTTAGTCTATTTCAATCTGCAATATTCTTCAGTATTTCATTGTCTTTTCTGATCATGCCACTTTGGAAAAGCATTGGTCAGATATTTTGCAGAATGTCTGTCAATTTGGGTATATATGATGATTTCCCATGGTTAGAGTGAGGATACTCCTTATGGATAGAGTGCAAAAATAATGTACCCTTCTCATTGTATTATATTAGGCAGCAAATAAGGCAGTAGTACATGATGTTAATATGTCATGTGATGTTAGCCTTGAACATTTAGTTAACCACTTGCTTTGTCTGCCCTTAGCCACAATGGCCTCCATATTCCTCTGTATCAAGAAGGCAGCCTGCTGACTCAGGCCTTTTGAATTTGCTTTTTAAAGTCATGTCTATTGAGGTGCCCTACTTTAAAGTTGCCTTCATGGAACTCACATTCATGGAACTATTTTCCCATTTATAATAAATATTTCGAGGGAGACACATTGAGACTATGCAAATATCCTACTTCTTCTTAATCTTTCACCCACTAATTTTACTATTTATTGGTAATCTGGCCTGCATTACTATGATAGTACTCTAATGATGACTTTTCTATTTGATGGGGTTGTTCACTAGCTTAAATAAGCAAAATAATGTAAACACAGAAAGTTCTTATTTCATGTTAAATATTTGTTTTTAATTAATGAATATTCATAATGGCTACTATTTATTTAGAGTTTACTAAGTGCCAAGTGCTGTACTACATATTTTATTAGTATGACTTTGTTTAATCATCACAACAACTTTGTGATGAAGGTACCATTGGTATCCAAACTGTATAGAGGAAGAAAATGAAGCATAGACTAGTTAAGCAATAAAACCAAGGAAAGTCTTTTAGTCACTGAAATGAAAGGATATTTTTGGGAAATCTTCTATGCAGTCTGGATCTCAAAACAAAAGAGCATTAAGAAAGGCACATTATTTCCGTAGTGTTCTTGCCAAAAATGCATAATGTAAATCTAAACATAGGAAGACACCAGACTAACACAAATTAAGCAATAATCTGAAAAATAACTGACCAGCCCACTTCAAAAGACACAAATAGCTTTTATACAACCCTTTCACATCCAATGTCCTATATTTGTTTCTAATGGTGCATAATCAGGAAGCCTACAAAGCCTACAAAAGGGAGATGTTTCTGTCCTTCAGAATTTCACAGTTAAAAAAATCCAAATACCATTAATAAGCATGCAATTTTATTTATTCATTGGAGTAAATAAAACAGTTCAATTTTGAGAGAGAAATTAGATAATTTGAAAGGTAAATATTCAATTTAAAAAAGACTTCTTGGGCAATACATACTTTTCTCAGAATGACCAATGGTCCCTTAGAGATAAGTCCGATAACCACAGAAATCTTAGTGAGATATAGTTTATGTAGCTGTTAGAACCTAACCCCTACCTTGTATGTTCTCCATAGTCAATCCCTACATTTCACTTTATCTATGAAAGTAAGAGGCAGCAAAGGATATGGCTCTGAGAAGGGTGGGGAAGATATGCTTGTCACAATTCTGGGTCATAAAAGCAATTATAATTTTCTGATTTAGGCTACATCAAAAATGCTCCTTTGTCAAAATGGATGCATTAAAATGACTCATGTGCTCAGGCTTATAATTTTCTCCCCTTGTCCTCATCTCTGCAACTACTGCCAGCTCCTATTCTGTCTACTTCATTGCTTATCTAAGATTTTAAGTTATTGGAGAGACTGTGACCTTAAATGAGTTGATGCTATTGTGTGCAGAATTCTGTTTTGTTAGTGGACAGTTCTATTTATCAAATGTTATTTGAAAGAGGAGAAATGAGAGACGAAAGGAAAGACCATACTTTCCCAAGTTTAAAAGGTATGATGAAAAATTGCAGTCCTTGGAACTTCAAGGCTTTTTAAAAAATAATTCTATATTTGTTCTGAAATAATGTTTTTTTCTGAAATTCTAGTCACTCTAGTGGCTTTGTTTTTCAAAAATGAGTGAGAGAGAGACTGCTTATTGAGCAAAATATATAAATTTTAGCCTACAAATGCTGAAATTCCATGGATATTTATTTTATTTAAATAAACTTAAAGCTGACAGAGCTCCCATTCTTCTGGGCTGGTGAAACAGTCAGTTTTAGTCATTATTGGGGTTCAGTGCTCCTTGTGTTTGCAACCATTCAATGTCTTGTGCAGCAATAAGGGAGGCCACTGGTCATTGGTCTTTCTGGCTTCAATATGTGTCTTTGTTCTAGTCTGCAAATAGCCTGAAGTCTGGAGACTTTCCAGCTCTCAGGTCTTATATGAAGTGCGTGGCTCTTTGGAGAGTCTGACCACCACTATACATAGGATAGCGCCTCTGGAAACACCATGTACTTTATACAACTATCTGTTCTCATGTCTTAGTTGTTCATCTCTCTCTTTTTTGCTTCTTTTTGCCTTCTGTCCCTGGGTTTCTACATAGCTTCTTCTTTCTACCCTGAAAAAGTTCCTGTGGCAAGAAAATACTTACATGTTTATTCTCCTATTTAATGTAAAAGAGAAAAACGGAAAAAAAAACCCACACAAATACTTCTCACAAAAATTATCTTTCCACCTTTGCTTGTAAAGATAAGGAAAAGAGTGGATATGCCTTCAATTTTTATGTTTGGAGTGCTTAGATGCACTTAGACCAGATGATGAAAACTCTAAGACAATTGCCACATATCTGGCTTGGGTGAGAAGTGTAGCCATTTATTGACATGCTTAGCAAAGCAGAGTGAGAGGGTTTGAGGAGGTATAGTAAGATTTGGGCATTTTGAACTTACAGTGCTGGAGCAACATTATTGTGCCTTGTCCAACAGAGAGGTGAGTATAAAGTTCACAGAAACAGTGAAGAATGAAGACAAAATTATAGTAACTGAACAGTGCGTAAGTGGTATTTAAGTCCAAAAAAAAAAAAAGAAGCATGATTTGTATCACACAAAGATAGCATGGGAGTTACCCCCAGAATTTATCAGGGGAAATGCATTATAATTCAATTTCACCTAGAATCTAGTTTTGTTATAGGTAATCTGTTGTTATTCATTCATTCATTTAACTATTCTTACATTCAGAAAATATTTACTGAATACCTATTACATGTGAGCCACTATTCTGAGGATTAGAGATAAATCCCTAATTTACATTCCAGTTGGGAAGACAAAATAAGTAAAACAAATACTATATCAGATGTAGATAAGTGGACTTGAAGACAAATAAAGCAATGAGGATAATAGGGAATGCTAAGGTGGGTAGGGGTTAACATTTTAAAGAGACTGTTCACATAAATTCTCACTGAAAAGGTGATGCTGATGCTAACTACTGATGAGCAAAGGCCTAAAGGGGGTTATATGCTTATAGGAAGGAAAAGTATTCCAGGCAGAGGGAATGGCATGTGCAAAGGCCCTGAGGCATAAGCATAGATGGTATGTTTGAAGAAGAATACATTGGTCAATGTGGCTGGAAGGATGTGAGCAAAGAAGAGAGCACTAGAAGTAAAAGTGGGTGGGTTTAAGATCACATGGAACTTTGTAGGATTTGCAAAATCTTTGGTTTTTCCTTTTATTGACATGGGAAGCCATTGGATGAGTTTGAGGCAGAGGAACTGACATGATCTGATAGCATCACACTGGTTACTTACTGTGTAGAGAGTAGATACACAAAAGTTGAGCAAGAGTGGAAGCTGGCAGACCAGACAGAAGCTATTGAAATTATTCAAGTGGAATTAAATAGTCAAATAGCAGTGTCAGAGATGAGACATATTTGGATTCCAGATAAATTCTGAAGTTGGAGACAATAGGATTTCCCACTGGATTAGCTATTTTGCGTAAGAGAAAGACAAGTTAAAATGATCCCAATATCCCAATATATTAATATCTAGCTTTAACAATGAGAGAGGTGAAATTACTATTAAATGATATGTGGAAATGGAATAGCAAGTTTGGGGTCAGGAGTGGAAATCAGTATTGATTTTGGACATGTTAATTTTTATATGAGTATTAAATATCATATGGGCTGGACACTTAAATCTGAATAAGAGCATCAGTTCAGCTACAAAGAGGAACAGAGAGATGGGCTATAGCTGGAGGGAGAAATAAGGTCAAGAGAAAATTTTAAAAAACATACTGGGACTAGAAACATGCTTGTCTGTTGATGGGAAAGATACTCGAGAGAGAGAAAATTTGATGATACTGGATCTTTGATTTAAGCTATTAGATCTCAGAACTAGGTTAGCCACTGATGAATATTTATGAGTTTTTCTTATGAAAAGTAATTTATTGGATTAAAAAACACATGGAATATAGGACATTTTTGTAAGCATATTGCTAAAGGTATTAAAACATATTGACTTGATAAGATAAATAATATTTCAATCTAGCACATGATATTTGCCAGATGATTGAATCAGAGAGGTAGAGTGAGCAGGAATAATTTTATGGAGGACGTGCATTTCAGAAGGTCCATGAAACTTGGGTAGGATTTGAATAGACTGGAAAGGGGTGAGAATACAAATGCTAGGGAATGTCTGAACATCACAAAGAGGTAATATGAGATATATCTTGGAAGGGAAAAGGAGGTTCATGTGAGGGGCAAGGGGAAAATAATTAGGAAGGGCATGTTTGTACTAGAGATTGTAGGGTATATAACTTAAAAGCTGTCAGTAAAGGAAGGTATCTCAAGTGACTCACATACTCTGGCCTGGGCCAGATTTTTTTCTGAAACAAGTTAAAAATGTACTGTGGGCCTGAAAGATTGAATAGAATTTTATATTAGTATCAAATTTATGGTCAGATGTAAGGCATGTTAATCTTTCAGATTATCTATAATGGATTTCAAAATATTGCTAACTTATTCTGAAAGTTAGTAAGACCTGTAGAATTTATGAACGCCATCGACAGAGGCTTATAAAAGAAGAGTAACTAATGTTAGTTCTTGACCTTAAACAGATTTCTAGAAATAGAAATAGTTACATGGAAAGTGAGTTGACATATGACATTTATTAGAAATTATTTTGAAAGCAAATATTCTTTGTAGGTAAAGGAACATATTCACTACAGAAAACCTCCGAGACTAAGTTAGGAGGAAGTATTTTTTCCTTTATATTGTCATCACTATTATCTGACCTACATGATTGTTAATTGCAACTCTGACACATACAGGAGTGGAGGAAGTTCAACCTGTCACTACTTATAATTCAGGCGCACAAACCAATGTGCTCAAAGGAAAATCAATAATAGGAATTAGTGGAGATGCAAAGAAGAAAATGTGGCTGAAGTCTATAATATATTGTGTATCTTGTCCTCTATCTTTTAAAAATGTAGTTCAGCAGACAGGACTAAAATCAATTATGAAATTTGTAAGCCCTAGCTAGATATTTCTAATTGGTAGAAAGATTGTGTCCTCCCTTAGCGAGAAGCGGAGATTGTAGAACAGTCAAATACATAATGACTGCAGAAGACAGGCTATGAACATAAATTAAGAAGCCAGGTGGGTGCGGGTTTAAAGGAGAAGGCTGCTACCCAACTGCAGTTGGTTGTTGCCAAGTAATAATGTACTTGGTGCTTCAGACTTCATTTTTCCAAAGAAATAAGAAATCTATAATTTGTAATGGGCAATCTGCCAATTTAAAAATATAGCACATAAAAAATTACTGTGTGGGGAGGACAAAACATATCCATGGAACACATTAAGTCCCCTGGCACTTGGCTTCTCATCTCTAGTCACTTCTGAAGGGGAAATGGACATGTGATCACCATATTATCCTGACCTATACCTTAATAAGGATTTCTAAAACTTCCCAAACATTTTTGCCTAAACCCAATTCTCAAGATGAATTTTTCTCCCTTTATTAAACTCAAAGTTTTGTTCCCTTCCTGTTTTCATTTGTTTTAAATTTAAATTTAATTGTGTTTTAATATTGGCTCTGCATGTGATAATCAATGTTTTGGGAACAAATTACAGTACAGTATTTTCAGAAAAATAATAGATGATAAAAAGAAGTTGTGAAATGTTTTAATAGCCTATCTTCATGCTTAAGGTGACATTGACATTTATCAGAGTAGCATAAAAATTTCTAGTTTTTAAAACATTGTTAAATTCTCTTCTATATTTAGCCTTGCTCATCACACCTCAAAAAGACTCTATCTTATAATATGCTCAGCAGAATAAGGACCAGTTCCAGGCTCAAATACGGAATTCCAGTTACAACTCCAGTATAACCAAATATATGCCCAGTCTAAATGCCCACATTCACTAAGCCAATAGCATACAGGGGAAAAAAGAGTTACATAATATTGTTTCTGTTTCCTAATCAGCTTTGTGTATGCCATGGGATTGAAAAAGCATGTTGAAGCAGCACTTTCCGGGTGCTTAAGTTACAAACTGCAGTCTGTTTATCCAGTCTAAGGCCTCTAAAATCAGAATATATAACATCTGCTCTTCCATCAATACGTCTCCTTACCCATCCTCACTGATCTAGTTTAGAGTTCATTCTTATTATTTATTTCAAACTGTAAGGTGCACATGAATCACCAGGGGATATTGTTAAAATGCAGATTCTGAAGCAGTAGGTCTGGGGTCAGGTTTGACAGTCTGTTTTCCTACAAACTCTTAGATGCTTATGTGGAAGGTCTAAGAACCCTACTCTCCCCAGAAAGATGGAATAGTTTTTTTTAAAAGTCTGTCTCCCCAACTAGAATATAAATTCTAAGCACAGAAACCAGGTCTCTCTTGCATCCCACTATACCTCTAGCATCAGCACATAGTAGGTGGTTTAAATAGTTGCTGCATGAAGGAATTCTGCCCTGCTGAACAAAACTAGGAGATCATCACTAACTGGCAAGGGAGACGGGCAAGCAGGCAAGAGACAGAGTTCCAAGTCTTGCTACTTGGCCACCTAAAGCCAGCTGGTGAGCTGTAAGGTACTGCCATGTTTCTGGCAGTAGATGGCCCATCTTTCCTCAGGATGTCTGCTTCTTGGCCACCTAAAGCCAACTGGTAAGCTGTAAGGTACGGCCATGTTTCTGACAGTAGATGGCCCATCTTTCCTCAGGTTGTCTTTGAGAATGGAATGAAAATACAAATGCCTAGAAAGAAACTATATTCATCACTTCAGAAAGAGCCTTTCTTCTATGGAAAATCTCTAGAACAGCTTCTCTTTGAGTCTTTTACTATCTATGATTAAAAATAGCCACCACTTCCTGCCAAGAATTGCAAGAAAATCAATAAGACCATGATGATCTATCTTGGAGTGTCATTTATTATATTGATACAATTATTTTTTTTCTTTGAAGGGCTCAGCTTTTGAATCTGTGATTGGTATATCTTTGGCCTTATGAGATGAATGATGAGATAAAATGTGTGAAAAATTAAACTTCTCTAGTGGCAAGTGTAAGTGACTCAAGAGTTATGCTGGAGAATGGATCATTGCTTCACTTCTACAGTTTAAAAATTTGTGAAACCAACCATGGTTACTGCAGTATTACATGGCTATCAGGTTTCAAAAGTTTGAGACCCCTGCAATGAAGGCCATTAGAAAACATGAAATATTATTATTACAGACAGATGATGGACCATCTTGCCAACAGCTGACACTGATCTTTCTACGTGAGCAGTAAGTTGAGTGGGGAAAGACATGGGAAGCCTCAGGCAGAATTACATAAAATATCTTCCATCCTTGGCACTTACTCATCAACAGTTAACCTGGCAAATCTAGAACTTGGTTGGCATAAAATTAAACATTCTCCAAATGGCTCCTAAAATGGTGAATGATAAAATTATTGCTCTATGACTTGAGGTAAAGATATCTAACCCTAAGTGCAGATAAAACATGGCAAATTGATAATAATATTTTTAATGAATAATATTATGAAATTAGAATAGTGAGAAGTTTTATTATTGCGTTTTTTTCAACATCTGTATTAGCCCATTCTTAGCTGCTATAAGGAAATACCCAAGACTGGGTAATTTATAAAGGAAAGAGGTTTAATTTACTCACAGTTCCACAGGGGTGGGGAGGCTTCAGGAAACTTACAGTCATGGTGGAAGGGGAAGCAAACATGCCCTTCTTCACACGGCAGCAGCAAGAAGAAATGCAGGGCAAAGCAGGGAAAAGCCCCTTATAAAACCATCAGATCTCGCGAGAACTCACTCACTATAACAAGAACGGCATGGAGGTAACTGTCCCCAAGATTGAATTAACTCCCACCAGGTCCCTCCCATGACATGTGAGGATTATGGGAACTATATTTCAGGATGATATTTGAGTAGGGACACAGCCAAACCATATTAATATCTTTATTTTTTTATTATTACTATACTTTAAGTTTTAGGGTACATGTGCACAATCTCAGTAAATATCTTTATTTTTTATTCTTCTTTTTGGCTGCATGGAATATTTCTTAAATAGTTAAAGTACTATGTGTCATTTTCCAATTATTATTATATGTTTTAGACAGCTTGTTAAAAATGTATATACATTTCCAATATACTTAATGCACTACCAAGCCCTAAAAGTAGCCACAAGAAGTACCATCCCATGGGTCTATACATTCTTTAGCAGGACTATCTTTTCCTATTAGAAATTGGAGGCATTTTAATAAAAGGGAGAAAGGAGTAGGTTTTAGATTCTTGTTAAGCTAAGTTTGAGTTCTCTCTTGTCATTTACTGGTTAAATGAACTAAAGAAATTTAAATAAATTTTCTGAATCTCAACTTTTTAATTTTTAAAATGGACAAAACAATAGTACATGACAAGATTGTCAGAAGAATTAATATAAAATTGAGAAAATACTTAACAGAGGGTCTTGTAATATATTAAATGTAATATAATATGTATAGGTTAAAATTGTATAATTATAAAAGATAATTCCTTAATCATAACAAAAGAATTCCTTTATTTTCCCTTTATAGATGTCCTCTACAAAACAACCTATTGCAGTTTTTGCATTATTTACACTTTTAACCTGAAGACTGGTCACTAAGCAATGCATTTGATGTCTGCTGATTTGAGCATTCACTATGTGCACTAGGTAGTGATGGTATTGCAAAAGAAACAGCAATATTTTGCATCATTTTAAGAAATCAGTACTGAAAACAATTAAGCAAATAAAGCAACATGATCTTTAAATAAATATTAAATAAATAATAATATTCTCAAATGATAATTGAAAATAATAGTGGCTTCAGAATAGGGAAAGGTCTGACTGTGGTGAATGGGCCTTAAGCCTGGCTTTGAAAAATGCACAGATGGATAGAGGAAAGGGGACAATCCTGCCAAGCTGATGAAGAGCAGAACTAAAGAAGAGGTTTGCATGGTATGTTTGGAGGTCAATGAGTGTATCAGTCTGTTTTCACGCTGCTGCTAAGAACCTACCTGAAAGATTATTAGGTTGTAATTAACACATGAGAAAATTATGGGGCCTTCTGAAAACCATAATAAACCTTACATTTTAGTACATATGATAATGACTAAAACATATACATCAGATGTCTTTTTTCTCTCAGTTCCTGTGTATGTACATGATATCTATATTGCAAATATTTTTAACGTGTATTTACATGGATACAAAGCCCTGCACTCTTTCCATGCCTTGAACTCTCACCCCATCCTTTCTCAAGGAACCCATGCATATATTATTAGTCAAAGTTCTCCAGGGAAACAGAACCAATCGGATGGAGAGACATATACTTATATCTATCTATCTATCTATCTATCTATCTATCTATCTATCTATCTACCTATCTATCATCTATCTGTCTATATATTTGGATATGTATCTATATGGATCTATCTTTTATTATATCTAATATATATATATGCACACATATATATGTGTATAAACACACACACACGTTATAAAATAAGAAAATGGCTCACATAATTATAGTGGCTGAAGTCTTACGATCTGCCATCTGCAAGCTGGAGACCCAGGAAAGCTGGTGATATCATTCAGTTGGAGCATGAAGGCCTGAGAACCCGGAGGTTGGGTGATCAATGATGTAAAGCTAAGTCTAAGGGCAGAAAACTGATGTTCAGCTCAAGTAGTCAAGCAGAAAGGAAGAAATTCTCCCTCCCTCTGCTTTTTTGTTGTTG
The DNA here is from genome assembly GCF_000001405.40 of Homo sapiens. Taxonomy (NCBI): domain Eukaryota; kingdom Metazoa; phylum Chordata; class Mammalia; order Primates; family Hominidae; genus Homo; species Homo sapiens. The sequence goes on along the minus strand of NC_000007.14, from coordinate 83,167,167 downwards.
TTGTTGTTGTTCTATTCATGCCCTCAATAGGATGGATGATGCTCACCCACATTGGGGAGGGTAATCTGCTAAATTCACAGATTCAAATGCTAATCTCATTTGGAATGATTCTTACAGACACACCCAAAAACAAGGTTCAGCCAAATGTCTGGCACTCCATAAGCCAGTTAAATTGACACATAAATTAACCATCACAATGTACAAACACTTAAGCAACATAGACATTCCTGCCTTTGCATGAGAGAGACAAGGCAGGGTTTTACAGTGCACAGTCCACAGAAAACATCTTGCAGCCTCACTGACATGTTGGTCCTACAAAGTCCCGTAGGCCATATTGCCAATGGAGCTAGGAGTGGGAACATTTCTCTTTCCCTTTTCAAAAATAAGTGGCATCAAGTCCCCTCCTTCTCTTATAGATTTCTCTACTTTTGTCCTCCAATTCATGCTACCTTACCAATTCAAGTTGTTTTATCTTTATTCTACAGAACACTTAAATAAGCCCATGCTGTTTTAAAAATATCTGAACTCCAGGCCTGGTGCATTGGCTCACATCTGTAATCCCAGCACTTTGGGAGGCCAAGGCGGACAGATCTCCTGAGGTCAGGAGTTCGAGACCAGACTGACCAACACGGAGAAATCCTGTCTCTACTAAAAATACAAAATTAGCCAGGTGTGGTGGCGCATGCCTGTAATTTCAGCTACTCTGGAGGCTGAGGCAGGAGAATCTCTTGAACCCGGGAGGTGGATGTTGCGGTGAGCCAAGATCGCGCCATTGCACTGCAGCCTGGGCAACGAGAGCAAAACTCCATCTATATATGTATGTATGAACTCCAATCCATCACCAGACTCAGAAAAACTGAGCATCTTCTAGTTGATTTCATCTTAACTCCTTTAGAGGTAAATGTGACTATTAACAGGTTTTCCTGGATAAATATTAAAAGTACTATTATATAATGTACAGTTTATCTTATTAACTTTGTAAAATCCCACAAATAATTTTGAAGTTCTGACCCCAAGCATTTTACCCAGGGATGTAAACCTATAGTCTAATCCTCTTGAGTAGGACCTTGAGAGTGTCACCTGACTCCAAACGAATTCTCAAATAAATACATTGATGTTCCTCAGAAAATTCTTATAAATAAATCTTCCCTTTCTTTTCTTTCTTTTTTTTTTTTTTTTTTTTTTTTTGAGACAGAGTCTTGCTCTGTTCAAAGGCTGGATGGAATGCAGTGGTGTGATCACGGCTCACTGCAACCTCCACCTCCCGGGTTTAAGTGATTCTCCTGCCTCAGCCTCCCGAGTAGCTGGGACTACAAGGGCATGCAAACACGCCCGGCTAATTTTTTGTATTTTGGTAGAGACAGGGTCTCACCATGTTGGCCAGGATGGTCTTGATCTCTTGACCTCGCGATACGCCCGCCTTGGCCTCCCAAAGTGCTGGGATTACAGGTGTGAGCCACCAGGGCATGCCAAATCTTCCATTTCTTATATAACTTTACGTCTGGGTAATGCTACATCGTTTAAAAGTCATCTTCACATATACTTTCTTGTTTGAGCCTTTCATGAAACACGCATATAAGTATTCAAGATAATTGTGTTCTTTTCCACTTTATAGTTTAGAAGGGTGGTATTTGGAAATTTTGAACAAACAACTCAAGTGCAGCTGGACAGTAACTGAGAAAAGTCACTAAAAGAGTGAAGGGAAACTTTGAAGGCTTATGCATAATCATAATGTGCAAAACCTGGAATATCAGTTATATAGCTTAACTAGCCCCCCCAAAAAATCTTATTGACTTAAAAAAGCATCTTATTATTATCATTATTATTATTAATTCTCTGATTCTTTCAGTTGATTGTGTAGTTCTTCTGCTGGTCTCATTGGGTTCATTGATGTCATTGTAGCCAGTAGGTAGCTCAGCTGGGGTAGGTTATGCTAAGGCGGTCGGGGGGGCGGGGGTCTCACTAAAGCCTCAGCTGAGATGGACGAAGCCGAGGCAGCTAGGATCCTCTCTCCATGTGTCCCACCTCCTTGGCTTCTTCAGAGCATGGAAGACTCAGTAATTTCCCAGGCTAGCCTGGTAACCATATACCACATTCTGATAACATATTTCTAGTTTACAAGTGCATTCACAGCTTTTTCTAATTTAGTTGTCACAACAAACCTGAGAGGTAGTAATGTTAGTAGTATTATTTTCTCTGTTCTTACAGTTGAGGAACCTCAACATCTGAAAAGTCAGTGACTTACCAATCCAAATAGCTGTAAGAATGCAGAGCTAGGATTTAAAACCAGACATCGTCAACAGAAAAAACCTGAAGTATAAGACATGCACACATGTACCCTTTCTCCAAAAAGCGGGTTCTAAATTCTAAACTCCATTTATAAAATGGTTGAATAAATAATGCTGATCATCTAAGTTATAACTTCATGACTTATTAATATTTTTCAATTTACAAATATTGTAAAGTGACAAAACTAATTTTATTACTTAATATTTTATACATTGTATGTCTATAGGAACACATTCTAAATACGAGTTTTTCTTTTATTTAAATTACAGATACACTTTGGACTAAGTATAAAGGAAAAAATTGATGGTTCAGATATTAAGAATTCAAAATTAAATTTATCAAACTTTTCACTAAAATACTTCTCGTGATTTTTCTCTCAAAATTGAGAAGCCAGTTTATAATCAGTTGTAACCTTACTTGAATTTCTTCCACTCTAACTGTAAATCCCACTTTAAAGTAGAGCTAACAAAAATGGCTGAGAGCAGCAATTCAGAAGTAACTCGGCCTTAACAAAAAATGAAGCGTCGGACCTTAAGCCACTGCAGGTTCTTGCTCCACTCAATGAACACAATCCTCTCTCACCTTCTGTTAGGAAGGAATATTAATTAAAGACCTTCATATGCACCTATATAAAAATTATAAGCCATATTGTCTATAGTTATACAATCGTATATATTCATACATACACAAAAATGCATGGACTTTTAAACATACGAAGGATGAGAATAGCTTGAGTTTTATTACTCATTACATCACACACAAAAGCAGTTACGGGTATTAATATACACTATGTCATTTTTTTTCGGCATTTGTTACAAAAGATGTTAGCATTTGGTTCCCTCATAAGAGACTGCATTATTTTTGTCATTTAAAAAAAAATCAGTTGTAATTATTCGTGCTTTTATACTGTAAAACTACAAATTCACTTTGGAAGGTAGAAGATCGAACTATGTAATGATTATTGCAAAAACCTGGACTTACTTTCTGAGCAACTTATTCATTTCTGTTTGATTTATTTATTCAGTCTCTATTACCTAACCTCAACAGTTGAGACATTAAGTTCACATTCTGAGGAAACGTAGGTAACAACATTGAGGCTGCAGATTCAGTGCTGAACAGTCCCGTCTAAGAAATGTAACAGCAAGAAAAGTGTAGGAGTGATAGTCGAAAGTGGGTCTCAAAAACTGGTTATTATGATAACGTGCTGCTAACCAATTGTGTGACTGTAACTTAACAGTCACACATTAAATGAACTTCGTGGGGTTCTTCTGTCCACATTTGTTAAAAAAGGGGCGGGGGAATAAAATCATGTTTTCAAACTTTCATACTAAAACATTTTAATATTTTTACAATCTCGATATTACTGCAGAACCCCACGTCCACAACTTCCCATAATCCTTTATTATTGTGTAGTCCCTCCCTTTAGGGAACTAGTTATAAGCACTCAAAACCTTAGCTGCTTACTAATATTGTATCATTTTAAATAATCTAATTAACAATTTAATTGTTCTGTGAAAGTTCTAAATGAAAAGGGCCATTCTTAGCTCCCTTGGGAAATGTGCCTCAAAGGTATCAGGGTCTCTCTTGCTAATCTTCAGTTACTTGAACCCTTTCCTAGAATGTTTTAAAACCTTCTTTTAAAGAAAATAAATGAAACTACAAATCCCAGGAGCCAAAGCTGAAAACAGACATTTCCTCTCCTGCCCCTCCCGCCCCCTTTAAATCTAGGTGTCTAGTAAGCTAAAACTCCAGTGAGGCATCCTGAAATATGCCTGAAAGAAACGTCGCCTGTTTCTTCCCTGTTTTTAGCCGGGCGTTCACTGGGCTCCTTTAAATCGGTGCTGAGAGCGAGGAAGGATCCGGAGCGACGCAGGATGGGGTGGGCGTGGGCCGCGGGCATCACCTGTTCCGAGAGGCGCCTGCGCACTGAGAGGGCGCGGGCGAGGAGGCGGTGCGCGGTGGGAGGGGCGGACGGCGCCCGGCTGGCACCGCTCAGATCTGCTTCTCCCCGGCTCGGGGCGCCGAGGCGGCGTCCGGGAGGTGTCTTCTGCAAAGGTTGCCTGGCGCTGTCCAACATGGAGGAGGCACCGGCAGCGGGCGTTACCTGCGAGCGGGACTAACCCCTGCCTGGCGTTCCGGGCGGCAGTGCCTGGTCCAGAGTCCAGGGACTCGGCTGCCTGCACGCCCCGAGGCGGACCCCGGCTCTGACTGCTCCCCTGGCCGCGGGCTTCTCGACTGGGACGCGGCGCGAGGAGGGAGCGCGGCGGCCCCGAGTCTCCCTGAGCCATGGGCAACGAGGCGAGCTTGGAAGGGGAAGGGCTCCCCGAAGGGCTGGCGGCGGCCGCAGCGGCTGGAGGAGGAGCTAGCGGGGCGGGGAGCCCCTCTCACACCGCGATCCCGGCCGGCATGGAGGCGGATTTGAGCCAGCTGAGCGAAGAGGAGAGGAGACAGATCGCCGCTGTCATGTCAAGGGCGCAGGGGCTGCCCAAGGGAAGCGTCCCCCCGGCCGCTGCGGAGTCGCCTTCCATGCACAGGCATGCACAGCATGATGTATATGTCCGGGCATATATGTACAGCTTCCCGTGCACATATGTGCCAGCCTGTATGTGCCAGCACGGCGGTACATATATGTCGCCTCCGTTCATTTTATTCTCCCCAGTGGGGTGGCCATAGAGAGATCCTAAGCCTTGTGATGGGCGGAATAAAAATGATGCATTGTAGAGTTTCTGGTGGGATAGTCAAGGGTTACATTCTTGGAACTGTGATTTTAGGTTGTGATTTTTGGCCTTTTGTAGCCCTTCCCCTCTAGGATGGCGTGGAGAGACGCCCTCCAGTGTTTTACTAATCTGGAAGTCTTCCATTAATACAACACGGACGTGTTAGGAAATGGATAGAGCTGGGTGTTTACCTGTCTCTGTTTAAACCTCTTGGCCATTGCGGGTCTTTTTCTCTGTGAATGATGTCTAAATATTTCTGTAACTTTAATCCCCTTGTAGGTGATTTGTCCTCTCTTGCCACCCCACCCCCAGAGGAGAGCAGAAGCTGTTTAGGTAGAAGGAATAGAATGAATATACCTTTTATATTCATTGAGGAACCCTAAAATATGTGTGGCATTAAACAGATGGTTTGGTCACAGCAGAGCAGGTGCTGTACATATATTTCTAAATTAGCATATGCTATTTTTAAGCCACTGCTCTGTTTTATGCAAAAGTGGCCTTCAGTTTAGGGAAGAACATGTGAATTTTATTACCTTAGAAAATAATTTTCAATACATACTTTTAAAAACAAAGCAAATAAATGGCAACTTGCATAGGCAAGTATAAGAGCTAATCAGTAATATGAATGTTTTCATTTCCGCCTGTAACTCTCCATTTTCCTTCATCCCAATAGATTAGTTGTTTTCTAATTAGAGTACTGAGAGGGGTATAATCATTGTGCCTGCCTTGCCTTTCTTACTGTAAACAAACCCTTTAACTTTGCACCCTCTAGTAGAGAACAGTTTTCTGTCCGTGGTTCTGAAACAATTCCTCTTTTATGACAACTGAAGGCAAACCTACAATTTTTCATTTGAGATACTGTAAGCACGAAAGACCTGGATATATAGGTGTAGATCCTTATCCTCCACTTTATAAAATAAAAAAAAAATTAACTTAGTCACTATCACGTAAGCATAATTTTGCCAAATAATTATAGGAGAAATGTAAAATGTTTTATGGATAGTGACAATATTTTCACATAAAATCTTAAATGCTTAAAATCTACCAGGTAAAAAGTCTGTTTATCTTGAAACTACTAGTACTAGTGAAAACTAGCCCCTTTATGTTAAATATGTTTTTCTGTGTTTTTAAACTAGTAATCCATGGGGCTATTTGGAAAAAGTCTTTCTTGTTCTCTTATCCAGTTTATGATATGTACTGTTTTCCTCTACTTGATGAAAACTTGACAAGAAAAAAAATTTAGTGTTCATTCAGTAGACTTTCACAGGATAATAACAAGGTATGATACTTTTATTAGCCTTTTAGAACTGTATGCCAGATCTTTTATATTTTTTCCTAAGAGGCACAAGCAACAGGTCTATCATGCTGGTTACCAATACCAGTTACAGTGAGATCTTTGATTTCTAGATTTCTAACTTTTCTTCTGTTTAGAAGGTGGCTGAGAAACATTATTTCCACCTATAAAACTGTTGCTTCATGCACTATTTGCATCAGATAGTATACTTTTAAAGCTCTCTATTGATAATTTTATTATGATGGAAATCTTATCAATAGTTAGTGTATGGCCCAAACAGTATTGGTGAAAACTTCATCCAAATACTAAAAAATAAATAATAATTTTCTGACCTTTGCAACTTACTCTTACATTTTACTGAAAGATTTCTATAAAAGGTACATAACTTTTTAAAAGTTATTTTCCCTATATATGGTTACCAAAGAAACATTTGGTTTTTCACTTAGACTTTTAAAGTTATAGAGTTATGTAAATTTAATTAATATAGGACGGCATACACAAATTATTTGAAGTTTTAAGCATTTAAGTGGTGTGAATTGAACATAGAATTTTAAAAATAAAGATTGACAGCATGGGTTTTTATCCTATTGATTTTGACCAACTCATAGCAAATTACAAATACTTCTCAATCAATGTGTCTCATGTTCCTTGCCTTTAAATAAGGCTACTAATACCTATCTCACCTGTCTTAGTCCATTGAGGATCAATTAAAAGTTGAGATGAATGTTTTTGTTTGAGTTGTAATTTACACAAACCCTACAAATGTAAAGAGTGGCAATATCGGTATCAGCAATGGGTGACACTGTCACCGATGGCTACAGACAAATTGTTGAATTGTACATTGTTTTTGGGTTATTTTGATGTGTCAGTTTTCTTTTACATGTGGAAAAATCAGTTCAATGGGGTGTAAACCACCTCCTCTGCCCACAAACCAGGAGTGAGGATACCAGATTTCTGTGACTAACTAGTTTTATGACCTTGAATTAGTCACTTTGCTTCTCTTAGTCCCTATATCCTGGGACTTAGAGCATAAATGCATAGATATTCATTTATTTATATAATATATAAAAATTAACAGATAGTCCCAAAGTTGCTTATATTTCTAATATTATAAAATTTTATGTGACTCAGCACTGTCAAGTGTCATTGTTTGTTGTGTTCCATTTATGAAAAATTTTATTATCTCAGATGCTTTTACATTCCTACATTTTGCATATATGTTTTCCTCATCTTAGGGGAAATATTTTGTTTTCTGCTAACATTTGAAAGAAAAATTCTAATCCAAGGATGACAATAGTAAAATGAAAAGGGAGGTGTAGTACTAAATATAAGTAGTTACAAGCTAGCAGTAGAAGACAGGTTACAAATGAAATGCTCATGGATTTTTTGTTCATTGTAGACCCAGAGAAGTGCAATTTCATTACTTTTTCTACTCTTTCTATTTACAGTTACAGATATATCATATGAGAAGGGCTTTATTGAAAAAAATTCTCTGATTAGTAGAATATTTAATAAGAATTCTGACTGAACTGATTATTTTCTTTACTACTTTCAGCCTTCCCTACTGGGCTTCTTCCTAAAGGTGCAGGCCAAATCCAGGTTCTAAAGAGAATATGAAATTTATCCATTTATATCTCAAGGCCTGTAGAAGAATTTTAAGTGAAAGCAATTCAAGAAACATTAAAGTAAAACGAATACATGATATATTTATTCCTTGGTTCACTCATTGTTAATCATCCACTTATTCATTAATTCATCAAATATTAATGCTCATCTACTAGTTGCCAGACTTGGTTCTAATGATGCAAAGATAAGTGAAATATATCCTTTCTCTCTAGGAGTTCACAGTCTAGTATACAAGGCAGAGATTGCATTTTAATCACTTTTCTTTTTAACAGTAAAACTGTTATGCCTAACAAAATTTCACCAAAAGACAGCAGCACCTTTACGTTTTTGTTTGGTATTGGCAGTTTTTTCTCTTGATTTTCTTTCCATTTCCCACTCAAAGATCTCTGTGTTTTACTTTTATTTACATAGTTATAGCAACTAACTAAGTTTAAATTATAAGACAGTCTTTAGGGTTGTATGCCTATTTTCTGATGGGGATTCTATAGTAAAGTACAACTTATATTTGTAGGAAGTACATGCAATTATAATTCCTGGTGCAAGCAGCTTGCTTTCAATTCTGTTTCTGATTATCACAAATATTTGACATTCATGAAGTTTATTTTTTGTTGTTTTACAAATATGATGGATTAAGTGAAATATTAAAACAATGATTAAAATAAGTTTAGTAGTATTTTCAAGAGAGAAGAATTTAGTATAATTAAGGTAGATTTTTTTTTTGGTACTCTGCTTAAAGTTAGATTTATAGGACTCTGTACAGGGAAGTTATTTAAATAAAATGCCTAATGATTACTCATAGGATTGCCATACCTGTAATCAGCCCTAAGCATGTGCTGTTCAAGGGAATGGTACAATATATTAAGTAAATATAGAAGATTTATAGAATAATGTCAAGGTCTGAATAGTGTACCTATAAAGAAATGTTCAGAATGATTTTCTCCAAATGGAAATATGTAGCAGTCCATTTTAAGAGCTAGCTTGGAACTATTGGAATTAACTAGGGTAACACTTTTAGTTCTGTTTAAGTAAAGCCTTGAGAGACATGGTAGAATATATATATTTTTGTAAACTTTTCCTTGGAGGAAATTTCAAAAATTCAGAATCTACTTATTTGTCTTTTACCAGAAAATCACTTTATGCATACGTTGCCATTTATAGATTATTTTCTTTTCTTCTAAGTGCTTGCTACCTAGAAGTAATGCTTCTTTGCGTCTTTCTGCTATCTCTTACATCCTGACCTGTACTCAAATTTCTATGTCAGGAAATTTGGAAAAAGTTAATTCATAAGAAGTATTGAATATGAAATAAAATATTTGTAGTCTGTCTCATTAGCAGGTAAATTTTGGTAAACCCAATTAGAACCTATAAATCTTTATTCTGATATTATATTTTAGGTGCTACTAAGTTACTTTCTTTATTCTTGTTTCCTTTAATTAAAAAGAAACATTTTTCAAAATTTAAAAAGCCTCATATATCAAATAAAATACTTATAATATGATTTTCTCCATAATTCTAATTCAGAATATTCTTTTAGCTGCAACTTTATCACTAAAGTATGAATTATTTTAAAAGTTAAAGTATGAATTATTTTAAAAGTTTCTGTATTTAATATGACTTTTGGCTAAAACAATAGATATATAAAAAATAAGAAACTCCTATTTTAATTATTTAACCATAGTCATTTAAAATGTATCATGTTTCCAAGGCTGTTTTAAAAAATATGTCTTGTATATTTGTCTATGCATTAAGATGTATCTTGAAAATTAACTACTTGCTACATTTAATCTCAATGTCAATAATAAATTAGATTACTAATAATCAATCAATGGCATTAAGAGATAGTGTAGCAAACACTAAGTAAGATATATGGATACCAAGATATATCTCAAGATGATTTAAGCATCTATTATGCTTCCCATAAAAATTTTGGGTTAATAATCAGTTATTTTTTAAAAAAGATAACACTGATCTTCAATAATAAAGATGGGGTTGTTCCTCAAGAATGTCTAAATAATGAATGTAGAAATTCTCATTCTGTAATGTTTCATAAGGATAATATTTGATGAATGGTGCCTTTCTAGATGGAGGCATGGGGATAATCCCCAGTCACTCTCTGGGACTGTCATGATTTTAGGTGCCCACGTCTGTGTCCCAGTCTCTCCTGGCTAGTGACCTGGATCACTAGAAGCCCAAGTAAAATTAAATAGATTATAAACTTTTTAGCATTCCTGGGAAAGCATCATGTAAACTCCATTATCAGAAACTCCCCTTATTTCACATTATATTCCCTATTTAGTTCATGTAAATTCTCAAAATGAAATTTTTAAGAAGTCTCAGCAGACTCCTATATTTAAAAATGAATATTTTTAATTCTCAATGCTGCTAGCATTTGGAAGACTTTCTTATATCAAAAGACCATAACTTTTGATAAAAAGAAAAAAATACACTCTGTGAACATGTATGCCTTATAATATGACTCTGTATTGATTTATTGAGGTTTTAATTTAAACCTATATTTAGTTAAGTTTTAAGGCCAGATTCTATTAAGTGCAAAGGTAAATTACTTTTATTATAAGTATTTTCTAATTATATATTTTAATTTTTATCACTCATAAGAGCAAGTTTTTTTTTCTTCACTTGCTTGTTGAAAATCTCTACCCATTTAAAGAAAGAAAAAAAAGCATTAAAACTTTTATGATCACTTAAAGGATGCTACAAAAATGGGTTCTAGTTATATTTATACATTCATAATTTTGAAGATATAAGCAATAGGTTTTTTGTATTACTTTGATTTGAAATAATTTCCATTATTTTCACTTGATTTTTTTTTTTTTTTTTAACTCTTCTAGGAAACAAGAGTTGGATAGTAGTCATCCTCCAAAGCAATCAGGAAGACCCCCGGACCCTGGGCGTCCAGCTCAACCTGGTCTCAGTAAAAGTAGAACTACAGACACTTTCAGGTCAGAGCAGAAATTGCCTGGGAGGAGTCCTTCCACTATTAGCTTGAAAGAATCAAAGTCCAGAACTGATTTAAAGGAAGAGCACAAGTCTAGTATGATGCCTGGCTTCCTCTCAGAGGTTAACGCTTTAAGTGCTGTTTCCTCTGTTGTAAATAAATTCAACCCTTTTGATTTGATATCAGACTCTGAGGCATCCCAGGAAGAAACCACCAAGAAACAAAAAGTGGTTCAGAAGGAGCAAGGAAAACCTGAAGGAATCATAAAACCTCCTTTACAACAACAGCCACCCAAGCCGATTCCTAAGCAGCAAGGACCTGGTAGGGATCCGCTTCAGCAGGATGGCACTCCCAAATCAATATCTTCTCAACAACCAGAAAAAATTAAATCACAACCTCCAGGTACAGGAAAGCCAATTCAGGGTCCTACCCAGACTCCTCAGACAGACCATGCAAAATTGCCACTTCAACGAGATGCATCCAGGCCTCAGACTAAACAGGCAGACATAGTAAGGGGAGAATCAGTTAAACCCTCACTGCCAAGCCCATCCAAACCACCTATTCAGCAACCAACTCCTGGAAAACCTCCAGCACAGCAGCCTGGACATGAAAAATCACAGCCTGGGCCTGCAAAGCCCCCAGCTCAGCCCTCAGGGCTAACAAAGCCATTGGCTCAACAACCAGGGACAGTGAAACCCCCAGTCCAGCCACCAGGGACAACAAAGCCTCCAGCTCAGCCTCTTGGTCCTGCTAAGCCTCCAGCTCAGCAGACTGGGTCAGAGAAGCCTTCATCGGAGCAGCCTGGGCCAAAGGCTTTAGCTCAGCCTCCTGGAGTTGGAAAGACTCCAGCTCAACAGCCAGGGCCAGCAAAGCCTCCAACCCAGCAGGTGGGGACACCAAAACCCCTAGCTCAACAACCTGGGCTACAGTCTCCAGCTAAGGCACCTGGGCCTACAAAGACTCCAGTTCAGCAGCCTGGGCCAGGAAAGATTCCAGCTCAACAGGCAGGACCCGGAAAGACTTCTGCCCAGCAGACTGGCCCAACAAAGCCTCCTTCACAACTGCCTGGCCCAGCAAAGCCCCCACCTCAACAGCCTGGCCCAGCAAAGCCCCCACCTCAACAGCCTGGCTCAGCAAAGCCCCCATCTCAACAGCCTGGCTCAACAAAACCCCCACCTCAACAGCCTGGCCCAGCAAAGCCCTCACCTCAACAGCCTGGCTCAACAAAACCCCCATCTCAACAGCCTGGCTCAGCAAAACCCTCAGCTCAACAGCCTAGCCCAGCAAAGCCCTCGGCTCAGCAATCTACAAAACCAGTAAGCCAAACAGGATCTGGAAAACCTCTGCAGCCACCAACAGTGTCTCCATCTGCAAAACAGCCTCCTTCACAAGGCCTCCCTAAAACCATCTGTCCTCTTTGCAATACCACTGAACTTCTGTTGCATGTTCCAGAAAAGGCCAATTTTAACACATGCACTGAGTGTCAAACCACTGTCTGTAGTCTCTGTGGTTTTAATCCCAATCCTCATTTAACGGAGGTAAGTGCATTTATTCACTGAGTCCATACTCTTCAGCCATATCATCCTCTTATACAAATGATGCTTAACTAAACACATATATGACATGATGGCATTGTCTTTCTCTGGATTCTCCCCTCCTTCGTTCGTTTTGTTTTCTGCCAGTTGTAATTTTTTTTTAACATTTCTCTGACTAGAAGCCTCAAACATTGCCACAATTTCTGAAAATTTGACATATAAGACAAATATAAATTGATTGAAAGATGCTGGGCATCTACTCATTTCACTCTGTATTTAAGACCCACACTGTTATTTAGCATACAATGGTATTGCTTTAACTTTTACATTGGTGTTCCTACCTATCAAAATTTTGGTATTCATAAATGTTATTTATATTTGTGTTAGAAAAAAAGTGGACAATGTTTTCAAATTCTGAATACAATTTTAACTTAAAACTGAATATAGTTTTTTAATCTCCACATCCCTTTTCCCTGCTAGTAATTCTGATATATCAAATGAGGGCATGTTGAGAGTCCTTAATAACAGTATTAAATCATTTCACAAAATGAAGAAGTTGTTAGAGCAGGTTCAGAATATATGGCTGACTTCTCAGATGACAGTTTATATCGCCTAGGCTTGAATCTGGGTAGCCTTAATGTTTCCAAGGGTTAGCTGGGTAATACTTTCTGACTCATCAAATTATAAAAAGGTTAATTGTGATATAGATGAGTACAAGTTTGTTTACTCAGATTGAGGATAGAAGAGTAGTTCTCAGCAAGTTAACTGACTTTATTAATATTAGTTCAGCATGAAAAGGCCTGGAATAATGTAGCATTTTAATAGGTAGAGATTCAGAGGTTTTTTTTTTTTAGGGGAAGAGACAAGAAGATACAAAGCATTTTTAAAAACTCAGAAATTCTCTGGCATTAAGAAATAAAACAGTGAAGATGGTATAAAGAAATGGGCAATGAGGTTGGAGATAGGTTAGAGTCAGACTTTGGCTTTCCACATTTAGTAGGTAATGATCAGCATATAAATAGAGAAGAGGTTTAGGCTCTAAGAGAATATGAGGGATTCATTTTTGTAAGAGATCTAATAGCCTCTACTTAATGAGAAGGCACAGAAATCATTTAGCCTGTCTGGAGGACAGCTGTTAGTGGGCTATCTGTGCATTACATCTGCAAACAGCCCAGGAAGTAACACAGCAGGCAGTGAAGGATTACATGATTTAAATATCCCTGAGACGTGAAGCTTGTATACTTTTGTTATAAATGAAATCTATCATGATAATAACAATAATGATGATCATTGGTAATTTATGTTAATGTGGATACTTATGAAAAATGATGCAAATTTAAAATATGTCAACTCTTGGTTGTTTTCTAAAGTAACCTTTACTTTTTTAAACAAAAGTAATATTGAGTAATTTAACTTTTCAAGTAAATAATCATTTACTTATAAAACTACAATTAATAAGAATATGCTGCATTTGACTTATGGAAGAAATCAGATTATAAGTAGTTTATATATATACACATATATACATATACATATGTTTATATATACAATATATACATATACATATGTTTTTATATATACATATATATATGTAGCTTTTTAAGCCTTGGTAAAATATGTTTCTCCCCATATTATACTCTCCTTATAGGAATGTGAAGTAATAATGACTTCAGATGATAGATGATCACTTTATAGTGTTTGGATTTGTCTTGGTTTTGTGGCAATTTACAAGGCAGAAATATGCAGCTGGAAATTTAAGCTGTATATGTTATTTCTACATCCAATGTAAGAAAGACAGTTATTATTTGAATACCTACTATGTGGAAGATATTCTGTTATATGTTTGGTGAGATATAAAGATAACTAAAATGTGAATGTTGATCTTAATAGATTAAAAATCACGAGATAATACATGCACAAGAAAATATAATATATGTGACCAGATTATAAGAGCTGTGAGAGATATGAATAAATATGGACTTCAGAGTAGAAAGTGCTCATTTCCAGGGGATGAGATTAAGGAGAACTTCATGGGGAAAATGGCATTTGAGCTGGGCATATAAGGATGGGCACTATTTCAATAGATATAGGACATGAAAGAGTGTAATGATTTGGGCCCAAACTTGGAGCTACAAAAGTACAGAGTATATTTTAGGGAGTCAAGAATAAATGTAGGTTAGCTAGGGTGTTGGAAAAGAAATGGGCAATGAGATTGGAGATAGGTTGAAGTCAGATTTTAGCCTTACACATTTAGCAGGTAGTGATGAGCTTTCTACTTTTTGAAAGTTACCTCAATTAATATGATACACATTTGATGGTTCATTGTACTAATTTGTATCAAATGCCTAGTTACAAAGCATTATTGAATGCTATGGGAGAATCAAATATTTGTTAGATATGCAGTCTTCTCTCAACCATAAATAGGAGAAATACAAGTTGCACATAAAAAGAACATCTATATATTTATTTCTATAAAAAGTAACTTTGGGCCGGGCGTGGTGGCTCATGCCTGTAATCCCAGCACTTTGGGAGGCCGAGGCGGGCAGATCACGAGGTCAGGAGATTGAGACCATCCTGGCTAACACAGTGAAACCCCGTCTCTACTAAAAATACAAAAAATTAGCCGGGCGTGGTGGCGGGCGCTTGTAGTCCCAGCTACTAGGGAGGCTGAAGCAGGAGAATGGCCTGAACCGGGGAGGCGGAGCTTGCAGTGAGCCAAGATCACGCCACTGCATTCCAGCCTGGGCAACAGAGCAAAGCAAGACTCTGTCTCAAAAAAAAAAAAAAGTAAGTTTGTATAGGGCTTTTCAGTTCACAGAGTCCTTTGTTTTATTAAAATTAAACTTCCCATAATTTTGTGTTTCTTCTCTATTATACCAATGAGGAAACTGGCATTCAAGTAGTTACTATAGTTAGTTTAGTTGTGAGGATCACCCAGATAGTATATTCACAAACAGAAGCCAATCATTCCGATTCCAAATCAGTTTACCTATGGTAGGAAGAGAGATGAAGTGTTACAGGGTCAAAGGAAGAAACCATCACAATTAGTGGGGGATATTACAGCTATCTTCATGAAAGGTGAAGTATGTGAGCTGGGAATATGAAAGATAATAAGAATTTGAACACACATAAATGAGCATGGAAGAAGCTAGGAACATAAGGGCAGGTAGAGAAGCTCACTAGCTATGTAAAGGAAGGCATTTCCTTATTGACTGAATAAACTTGGACAAGCCATTTACACTTTCTGTTACAATGGCACCATTTGACATATGAAAATAATAACATGCTCTCTGCCAGACACACTGGAAGATTAACTGAAAATTTGTATGAGAAGGTATTTTAGATACATGAAGTGCTTTTAAAGTTGCAATATATGGCAACACAGATGATCTTAATATTTGAAACAAATTTGGCCTTTAAATTTATTGTACATTCTTTTTTACATAGATAACAGTATCATAAATTCTTAGATGCTGAGGCAGCCATCTAAAGACATTCGATCAACAGTATTAGTGATATCGTTTCATTTTAACTTTCATTGATTTTTTTTCCTATAAGAAAAAACGCAATCAAAAGGTCTAATTCTGAACTCTAGAAAGGCATCTTTTCTAATACTGCCTACCAAATGGCCAGTTTCTCTAACTCCTAAATTTTATGGAGGTCAGAATTGAGAAGTTAGAGCTCTAGAGAGAGGCTGTAAGCTTCTGTTACAGGAGATAAGGTTGATGAAATTTTGGGGACAACCACCACTTCTGTCACAGTTGTGGTGTAAAACACCATAACTTTCATACGTATCCATGAAAAAGTAAATCTGCATCTTCCAAAGAGGATGTAACACTCTGGGTCAAGTTGCCCTCAAGTATTCAGATTGAGTAAACAGTTTTTCTATGCAAGATAGGGACATCCTTTGGTACAATTATGTGAATTTATTATTTTCCAGCTTGTTGTTTATATGCATGTAAATCTTTGCTTGCGTAATGTATGGGTGAAATAGATACACTTAACATTCCTTAAAAAAGGAAGAATTTCTCTAATATTTTTTGTTACCAATCTATCAGAATTATGACTATATTTGCTTGTGACCATCATGGCTCTGTAATGACTACCAGATCTGGGAAGGAAGGAAGGAAGGAAGGAAGGACTAGATAATTAGCTACACTCAGCCACAAGCTTTAGAGAAGGGGACATGTTTACTCCCTTAGTTCCAAACTCACGAATCATCACTCCCCGACCCAACCCTGCCACACATGAGCACTTTAGGCAACCCAAACATCTATGTGAAGAGGATCACCTTTAAATTAACTGCCTTCTCTGGAGGCTATCAAGATGTATGCTGTTCCAAACAAACCTTAAGAATCCACTGGCTGCAAGCCTAGGCCTTTGATGCCTAGACCTTGACCAGAGGGGTGTATAGCTGTATCTCTTCTTGTGGCCCATTAATTGAATAAATCTCTCTAATATTTGTCCTCTCTTTGGGCATGCATTTTGACACAGAACCTGAACGTTTGCTTTCTAATTGGAGGCAGAAGTATATTGTTTTCGTTGATTTACTTTATCTCTTTTGGTATGTAGCCTCACTCAAGATATATTTAGGAACAGAGATCTAAAGGCCTGTCCCTAATGTTTGGTAATTTTCCCAACTCTTATTAAATTTCATAATAAATGAAAACGACTTATCACTTTTCAGAATGTTGAAAATGAACCAAATGTTAGGGATTAAAATGGATTTAAGCGAAGTTTTCTCGCCATTTTTTTTTTAGTCATTATGGCACATATATAAGTCTTTTGGCAGAAGCCAGATATTTTGTCTAACAAAACCATAGCCACCTTTAATGAGCTAAAACAAACAAACAAAAAACTCCTTGACTTGCATATATCAACTTTCATATAAACTTTCTCCACTTAATAAACAAAACAAAAAAATAATGACTGAAATTCTTCAGTTGGGTTAAATGGCTTAACTGCCCATGACCTTTCCGTGGATAATCCTGTTGCATCTTATTTTTCTAGTAAGAGAAATGGGGAGAAGTTGTTCAGAAGAGCTGGTAGAAAATAGTGGAGCTATGCCAAATGTCAAGAGGCTGGAATCTGTGGAGAGAGAAAGCCTGTAAGACATTCCTGATGGTGAAGTAACTGAAAGAACTTTTAGAAAAGAGGATGTTCTCTTTTTAGTTGCTTGCTGTTTTTAGCACAGAGACTTTTTTTTTAAGCTTAAATTCTAAGCAAAAACTGCCACACAGTTCCTCTTAAAAAGGAGGACTGAGCACACAAATGCTCATCTCCTCTATCTTCAAGTCCCACTTTCTAAAAGATTTAAAGTATAGTCATTCCAAGAAATGTGAAAGAGCTCCAAAAACATAAGTTGGTATGTTGAAGAATTCCTTGAAGGTAGAAAGAAAATGGAAAGGAAAAAGAGCTGAGAAAACCACTGTCCAAGTGGCTAGTCAGGAGACCTCAGAGAAGCCCTAACTTGGAATCAAAAAATATAAAAAGCAGTAGTGGGATGTGGTAGTAGTCAAAGAATAAATTTCAGAACTGCAGTAGGAACAAAAGGACAATTGGTCTCTTTCTTAATCTTCACTGGGAAGACAAGGTACAGGAGGAACCCCTTCAGGCTAAAGCCAGAGATTAATCCACAAATGAAAGGGTGACCTGCCTGAGGAAGGGCCCCCATGAGAAAACTAGGACCTTCAAAAAGAAGAATAGAAGTGGAGGTGATGCTTCTCTCCCACAATGGGGTATTGCAAAAAAGAAAACAAATAGAACATTACTCATCTATGAGTCAAATCCCCTGAACTATTACCATCAGAGTAAAACTGTCCTTACTTGGATACTGACCCCCTGCCATCCTGTTTTCTCTCATTCGAAGTAGAGAACAAATGGGGAAGCAGAACTGTCTACAAACAGACAAAAAACTGTTGATTACCTATGAGTGGATTAAGAGCCTAACTAGACATTTTAGCAATAACATGGCATGAATGACATATATGAACTGACAGAAACAATAACAAAAATAACAATCAACCTCATAGGAAAAAGTTCATTCTTCAAAGAATGTAAGAAAATTCTTACTATTCCTGAGAGATATGTAAGAAGATATTTTCTCTATAGTTAACATACACAAATTTCAATGGGCTGGTTGAGGGTAAAAAAAAAGGAACTCAGTTAATGGTCTAAAAAATAAGGACCTAGAATTTTCCCAGATTGCATAGAGTTAAAAAACAAAAGAAAAAAAAGTATTTACTTACTTAACATCTACCATACTTCAGGTGTGTTCTAGACTCTGGGAATATGAGAGTGAACAAAGTTGAAAAAATCCTTCCCTTATGGAGCATGTATTCTATTAAGAGTCATAAATAAATAAAACATATGGTGAGACAGATGACAATGTGTTATGAAGAAAATTGAAGTAGGGGAGGGTTGTAGTATGTTCCAAGAGAGGGATGGGGTTGGGTTGTAGGGTTCCCTCACTCCCTTCTATTGGGTGATTACAGTCTGAAATTGATAAGTTACTTGGCAATCTAGAATTTTTAATGGTGACTAAAATTCTAATCGGCTGTAGTCCTAACTGAGGCTGTGGGTCAAGGGTAAGGGTACTAAGAAAGGAAAGGGTGTGAATGTACCCAGGAGTGTGGATAACTCTGAGATGTTTTCTTCACTCCTGCCTGTTGTAATGTGGATGTAAAGGAATGAGCATTTTATGAAATCCACAGCATAAGGAGCTATTTCTATTCCTAAAAACAGATAATAGTATAATGTTGTCTTATGAAAAAATTCACCTTGGATAACAAGGTAAAAATACATTAGATTTTCAATTTATACATAAAAATAAAATCAAAATCTACTATTTGATATTCTATTGGCTACCACAAGAAAAACTAAAAGCAAAAGTTAATACTGATTGATTCCAGAGAGGAAGGCTTGGTGGTAGTGAGGGAGGCTTTTACTTTTTATGCCATACATTTATGCACTATTTTTTTATTTTTTAAATTCATGTTATAACTAAAATTAACACTGGTATAATTTAAAAACTTTAAATCATCAAATGCTTAAACAAGTATATTATATAAAGGGTTAAAGGACTTGATTCTTCATTTTTACATCTTCAGCCTTGGTATTCTTCTTGGTGAAATGTCAGGGATTTTTCATTCTAAATAACAATGAGGATTTGAAATATTTTAAGCCTGTGATGCCAAGTTTGGTCAGTTTCTTTGTTCATTCTTTGCTTGTCACAGCCATGTATGCTTTAACTGGTCCTAATGTTTGCATGGAGCCAATAGAAAAAAATAAAGTACCTAGATTCTATGCATAAGGTTTTTGGAAAACAAAGTTTATTGGGTTTTTTGCAATTCTCTGATAATCTCTGTGGTATTGTTCATACTGTTTAAAGTGAGAATATCCTAATTATAACAAAATGAATTTACCTTTATTTAAAGTAGTTTTCTAATTAAATTAAAGAAATATAATTCAATCATTTAAAAACATGTATTATTTAATTACGTTTACAAACACTCTGTTTAGCTCTCATCTTTGATGTGATCCAGTTTGCACTGTTTTCTTATGATTTGGATATTCCCTGGATTTATGTGTTAATATACACCTAGGCATATACATTATATGTAATATTAATATTATATACATACATAAGTTTAATCATTGGAACCAAAGCCTTTTTTTTTTTTATTTTTTTTTTATACCTTCAGCTTTTAAATGACTAGATGTTTCAGGTATCTTTCTGGAGAGCCAGCTTTCATAATGTCTAGTAAGCCTGTTGTTATATATTAGTAGCTTGATAGGAACAGATGTTCTGCTGTGAAGGCAGATACCCACCGTTAAGATCATTTATTGGGTCTGGGTGCGGTGGCTCATGCTTGTAATCCCAGCATTTTGGGAGGCTGAGGCGGGTGGATCATCTGAGGTCAGGAGTTCGAGATCAGCCTGGCCAACATGGTGAAACCCTGTCTCTGCTAAAAATACAAAAAATTAGCTGGGCGTGGTGGTGGGCACCTGTAATCCCAGCTACTCTGGAGTCTGAGTGAGGCAGGGGAATCACTTGAACCCGAGAGGCAGAGGTTGCAGTGAGCCTAGGTCGTGCCACTGCACTCCACCCTGGGTGACGAGAGTGAAACTCTGTCTCAAAAAAAAAAAAAAAAGTATTTATTGGATCAGTAAGCTGAATATAGTAAAGGGTTAACTTGCTCATTGTTTATATTCCTTGAGAAAACACACATATCTAACAGTTTCCCCTATTTCACATCTTTAATTTATAACTAAACTAAATTCTCTTGGTATCTTAATCTTAGTTTAGATAAATATAAGCTCCATTTAGAAATAATTCTAATATATTATTACACTGAAGATAAAGAGGTAAATAATTTGTTAGAAGTTTATACTGGTTATCCTTAAAGTAATAATAGTATGAAGTACATCAGTAAGGTGTCAAACAATATGGGTTCTGGTCCTAGTTCTGCCTCTCACATATGTCCACTCTTAGTGACATGACTATGAATTCACCGAAAAGTATATCTTGTTACCTTTGATAAGGAAGCAACATTTTCACTACAAACAATGTTTCTTGTCTTTATCTTACTTCAATATGAAAGGAGTTTGGTCTCTTGTCACAGGGAAGAGAGATTGTAGTTTGAACACCATGCATTTCAAACTGTGCACGAAGCACTTTATATGCATTTCGTCATTTTATGCTCTTTTAATGAGGTGGTATCTACATTTTAAAGATGGGTAAAGAGATTAAGAAAATCAGAGTTCATATTATAAAGTATTTTGAAGTCTGCCATCCCTCTTGATAAATTAATCATAAGATGGTGCTTTGGAAAACTGGAAAATATGAGATTTTAAAGTTGGGCAATGTGGGTATGAATCCTACCTAGATCAGCTACTTATTTGTTGTGTGATTTGGTCAGGTGACTTTATTGTTTTTTAAGTGTTTAGTTTCATTATTTGTAATGTGAGAGTATTCGTAAGCTAAAAATCACATTTGGCAGTATAAGTGGAAGGGCTCTGAAATTAAAATTGTAGGTAAACATTCAGTGTTATTACTATTACCACTACTAATTAAAATCTTTATAACATTCTAATAGGCAGATAGGGATAGCACCATCATTATTGACTCCATTGGTAGATAAGAAAACTGGGGTTAAGAATTTAAATGACTTTTGCACAGTCACAGAATTACTTGGCAATGGATCCCATACAAGAAGTGAGATTCGCTGACCCAAAATTTAGCACCTTTTTATAGGAGATCACATTGTCCTTAATTGGATTACTTGATTCACCATACCATTTTCTAAATTTCTAGGTTATGGCAAGTGTATGTATGTGTGTATATTTACATATCCTTAAAGTTAAAAAGAAATTAACGTTCTTGGCAGGGATATTTTCAGAATACTTAGTTTAAAAAAAATCAAGGTTTAAGAGTACTTGTTTTTTCCTTCATACATACTTCTGTCCAAACCAGAGACTTACATTGATTCATACTTCTTTGTTCTCTAAGAAAGCTGTGAACTCCTACTCTAAGCAGGCCACTCTGTTCAAAATTGAGACTAGAGATGATGAAGGTCATAACTTTGACGGGCCACTGTCAGAAATAGAATCCAGAGTCTAAAAAGAGAGCCAAATGCTTAGCAATTTAAGATGGAATCTTGTTTATAAAAGAGAATATGAAAAAGTACATATAGATGAGATCAGTTCTCACTTCAATATAAAGTAGTAAAGTACCTTTCCTATTCTTTCTCTCTCTAATAAAAAAATCACTTGCAATACCATTTACAGAAATATGACACTTCTACTCTTTGTTCAGCAAAGTAAGCATTACCAGTTAAATACTTAAAACAACTCTTATGAACAGATTTCTACTTATGCAACGTAACTTAAAGAAATCAAGTAGCAGGCTTTACTATGTGAACATGTTCTGTAATTGTATTTTTGGGGAAAATTTTTAATGTGTAGATCTTTTTAAATTTATTTAAAGTTTTTAACTTATTGATAGGATAGTTAATCTATCCTGTAAATGGGTTAAAGAAATAGTCAGAAGGAAATAAATGACAATGAAAAATGTAGATAAGATTTGTAAAACATTTTTGAAAATAATGTAATGCAGATTAATCGGATTAATCATAATTTTAAAATGAGATTTTTTTTAAATATACTGTTAAGTGGTTATACATATATCTATGTAAAATTTTAATAATTGACAGTTGTAAGGAGCATCTATTCACAGAGAGCTAAAATAGGCTAAAAGTTCCTTATGAACATTCTTTTTATAGAGGCCTTAATATAGTTAAGGATTTCATATATTTTTATCTTTTTTTTGAGACGGAGTTTCACTCTCGTTGTGCAGGCTGGAGTGCAATGGTGTGATCTCAGCTCACTGCAACCTCTGCTTCCCAGGTTTAAGCAATTCTCCTGCCTCAGCCTCCTGAGTAGCTGGGATTACAGGCATGTGCCACCTCACTTGGCTAATTTTGTATTTTTAGTAGAGACAGGGTTTCACCATGTTGGTCAGGCTGGTCTTGAACTCCTGACCCCTGGTGATCTGCCCCGCTTAGCCTCCCAAAGTGTGCAGATTACAGGCATGAGCCTCTGCACCTGGCGATTTCATCTATTTTTAAAAGTATGTTTATTTCCTTCTTAAGTCAACATGCAACTAATTGGCTTAATCCTAGTGAGCGTCTGATTTAAAGATATGCTGCTTTCAGCATATAGAATGAGTTCATATTTAGACCTTTGATTCTTTTCACTAATATAATCTTTTGTTATTTCTAAATGAAATAATAAGAGGACAATGCAATAAACTATTCAGATACTTCCACAAACACTGTCTAATTGGAACCCTTGGATCACAAGCTGCAATATTTTGTGGTATATCTAGGTGTGTGTTAATCAACTGAGGTGTAAAAGTTTGAATTCACCACGAGAGGCAGTTTAGAAGTGTTAATGCATAATGCATGTAAGTTCAATTTACTGATTTGAGATCCTCCTCTCTTTGTGTAATTGTGATACGGTATGGATACACTTTCATGTCCGTGTACTGTAATTATTTTACAAATTGTGCTTTGGTGAAAGTGTCAGGTTTTTTTTTTTTTTTTTTTGGGCAATCCTGACAAACATATTAAAATATGCTTTTATCACTTGATCCTATTTGTAATGATTTAGAAATTTTATTGCTAGCATTCAGTTAGCATTATTGTGAAAAGAGTGCATATTTAGTTTATGTTTTACAAGGTTTGTTTATGGCTACTGAATTACATAGCAGAAATTGTAATCCATGCAATTTCAGAGAGGAGATGTCCATTCAATTTCTGGATGTATTATTTTAAAGAAAATTGTTTTATTAAGTTGCTGAGTATGCCATCACAGTTCTGAGGAATGCTAGTGTCTAGTTTTTAACCAAAATAAATTATGCATGAATATGAATAGCTAAAGATGTCAACTACAGTGAGTCATCTCAATCCAAACTGCTGTTGGGGAGTAACTGCCTCTGTCGGGGAGCTCATGTGGCTTGAGTAGTCCTTGAGTAGCACAAAACATAATCTGTTATCAAACTTTATCTCAATTTCATCTTCCTAATACTGATTTTTAAAACCTCTAGTCTGGTTATATTATATATTTTTGGTATTCAAAGTAATAGAAGGTCTTCAATAAGTATTTTAAAATAATATGATGAGAAATAGGAGAAAAGCCTTTTGCATAGTTTACCGTTAAATAATATCTAAAAATTACTTGGTATCCAACATAGAGGTAAAAGTAAGCATAAGTGTTTGCTCTTTTTTTTTTGAGATGGAGTCTTGCTATGTCTCCCAGGCTGGATTGCAGTGGCATGATCTCAACTCACTGCAACCTCCATCTCCTGGTTCAAGCGATACTGCTGCCTCAGCCTCCCGAGTAGCTGGGATTACAGGCACATGCCAGCATGCCGGGCTGATTTTTGTATTTTTAGTAGAGACGGGGTTTCACCATATTGGCCAGGCTGGTTTTGGACTCCTGACCTCAGGTGATCCGCCTGCTTTGGCCTCCCAAAGTGCTGGGATTACAGATGTGAGCCACCATGCCTGGCCATGTTTGCACTTTTTAAAAGTTTATATGAGGAGACAAGAGGAAACAATTGGAAAATACTGTAAATCACTACATATTTGAATTTAAATGCTGTGGTTCGGGGTATAATGGTACTGTAATAGTTGAAAAACAGCAGATGTTCATTGATGATGGAATAATACATGACAAAGGAGGAAAGGAAATTCAATGTGGATTGTAAAAGATGGATAGCATTTACATAAACATGAGAGGAGCCCAAAGTTGACTGGGAATCTCTTACTCAGGTAAGAGAGAATGGGAATACTGCTTTGATGGAGTAAATAGTCCATTTAGATGTTACGGTTTGCAGAAAAGTTTAGTTGTGATGAGTTTAAAAGTAAGAGCCCAACAGGTTTTATTGTACAAAGACAGGAAAATAGCACGATTGAAGAAAATTTATTTAACAGCTGATGTGAACAGTACAAAAAGGAGCAAATATAAATTCCTAACATTGTGTTTGTTCTTCTGATGTTTCATTATTCCAAGTACTACGGCTATGTAATTGAGCAGAGATCATATTATGAATATTATGTTGATGTGTTTAAATTTTCCAGTTAGAGTTACATAGAAGAGAGGATGTTGGTCATTATGCTTTCTGGAATTGTGTGTGTGTGTCGGGGGGAGGGGGGCAGGGCTTCCATTCTGTTTTGAATCTTAATAAATTAATAATAATTCTGAGCAGGAATATTCTTTAGTTTTGAAACCCCCAAATTTTATCAATTCACTTCATTGCTTAGATGTATCAAACTGATTATTTTGAGTCATTATTGAAGATACACTCTTAAAAATCAGAATATAATTTTTTGGTAATCAATAGCTTTGATACTTTATTTTGAAAAGGGCACCATTAATTGATACTCTTTATGTGAAGTTCACAATTAAACCTTCAAGTAGTACTTTTTGAAAAATCTAAATAGGGTGCTTATGATTATCTATCAAAGACTTTAGCCAATGAACTTGTATTACTATATTTGACACCTCTCATACATAACAAAGGCTTAACAAAATAAAACCACAAGGATTGAATTAAGCAGACAGCAGTGTTGGAATTATATGCAAATCCACATTAGAATACACAGTGGCCTCAGAATGAGCAGAAATCCTGTCTGATCATCTTCTTACCCCCATTTATATAGCACATTAAATCAGAAGACTAAAGGAACAAATACTTTTATGCCTTTCTTTTGTTCCTTTCCATAGAGATAATTGAGTTTAAGTAGCTCACTAAACAGTTGTATCTTCACACCTTGAATTTCATTTATGCACCTTCTGTAAGTAAGGCTATAGATAGGGAAAGCAAAGATGGCTATTTTTCCTTATTTGTCATATAAAGTCTGGAATTTAGGAAAAGTTCAGGCTTGACATCTATCTAAGACAGTTGGATTCTTCCCTTTTAATGTGTGCACATGGAACTAAGAGTTGTTTCAGGACACATTGATATCGTTGTAGGCTCTCCTGGTAGAGTTTATTCCGTTTCTCCCACCATTTGTCAAATGGATGTGGATTGTAGTATCATGTTGGAGAGGCAGTGCCACTTTTGACAGGGCATTTGGGAAGTTCTTTAGGAAACCTTTGTGGAAGCCATCTTCTGTGAATCAGGCATGGCTGCAGAGATTGTCTGCCTAACTTCTCCATCTTCTGTGAATCAGGCATGGGGAGGAAGTGATAAGGACTAAAATCATCTAAGATTTTCATTTATGGCTGTAGCAGATGAAAACCCAATCATGCAGAATGAAGGGACCAAGTGTATTATAGTTACTATGTGTAACTGGCAGCAAGTGTCTGAGGCAGGTATGTCTCTACTCAGTGTTGGAGATAAAGGTTTAATTTTGGAAGTAAAACAAGGCAGTGATTATCTCCAGGCAGGAAAAATATTTATGGCTAGCAGATGTTGTAATTGTGAGAGACTCTTCAATTTGAATCAAAATGTGAATAGATTTTCAGTGGCCTAAGGTACAAAGTAGGGTTCTATGGAGAATGGCATGCATCTTGAGAATGCTGTACAGATTGGCTAAACAGTGGGAGATTCACAGTAAACACAGAGCACAGTTAAATATTTTAAATTAATTTGTTTAATTCAAACTAGTTCAAAAAATGTTTGTGAACATAACTGATGCTTAAAGTGTCATATATACACTGGAGATTAATAGAAAGACTACCATGAGTAAATCTTTACAGTTTGTTGTTTTGAGTCTGGGGAGATACAGGCTTGGAAATAGCAGAATTACATAAATACTAGCATAAGAACACCAACAGAATTATATACTTTAAATTTCTTGTAAACATTTTTACTTTATTTCATAGATAAAGGCATTAAGGCATTGAGGTTTGAAGGGGAGTGGTTGTATTAAACAGGTTACTTTTGGTGAAAATGTGAAGTGTTTGAGAAATAATAATGGCCAAATGAGAGACAGTGGCTTTGGAAATGTGAGAGAACATTTCACAAGCAATCCAGACCCACTTCAGAATAAATCGGAATGTGGCAAAAATATTATGAGATTTTGAACTTGGGTAACTGAGAAAGCAGTGGAAGTATTACTATTCATTGCTCACCCTAAGTGCGCTGTGAAAGACCTGACTGACAGTAAAGATGGTTTGTGACGTTAATGCTGGGGCTGGTTATGGACTTTTTCATTTGGTCAATGTGTAGGAAAGATTTTTTTCTTTTTTCTTTTTCTTTTGTCTTTTTGTCAGTTGCATCGGGGCTTGCAAAAGCTGCTGTTTTCAATACAAGACTGTTAAGTGCTGAAATACAAATCATTTCTACCTTCAACAGATTTGGCCAGTATAATTAAATAAAAAGGAGGTGCTTTCTAAAAAATCCTAAGAGGATAAAAGCTTTTATATAGTGCTAGCCGTAGATAATGATTTCAACCCGTATTCTAGCAATGAGGGTGAATGTTGATGGATCAAATATCTTTCTGTGTTGTTTATCAAAGTTAAAATAAATGTGGTCATTTAAAGGACAAAAGATGAGGGGTTGGAGTCTGTTCAAGCAAAGGGTATATTAGGAGAAAAGCAGAATTCTCTCCCTGTGAAGGGACAGTGACTCCTATTTTCCACCTCATTTTTACTAACTCTCCTAACTATCTGCTTAGGTAGAGATATATCCATGTACATTTATAAACCACAGTGAATCATTTGATTTTGGAATAAAGATAGTATAAAATGTGTCCCAGTGTTGATATACATCATACATTAAATATGTCTGGCAGTGTTCTAATTTTACAGTTGTCCAAAGATAATGTTAGGGCATACTGGCTATGGATGAAGCTCCAATGTTCAGATTGCAAAGAAACTTAGAATTTTACTAATGAAACCAAATACATCCCAAGAAATTTTTCAGAAGAAAAAAAGAGAAACTAGTAGCAAAGTAAAGAATCACCACAATATCATCAGATTTTTTTTATATGTAGAATATTTATTCAGTTCTTTTTTCAAGTACACCTTGTCTTCATTCATTGTACTTTATTTTTTGTGAAGGTTTAAATTTATTTCTTCTATGTGTTTAGTGATATTTAAAATTTTTATTTAATCAAGTTTATCAGAAAGTTCTGTTAGAAAATATGACGAGGCTTTAATTCCGCCATCTATATTTTCCGCTATTATATAAAGATAATTGTTTTCTCTTTTTAAAACAACTTGAATTGGGATTTTATATCATAATTTTTTAATGTCTTTTTTTATTATACTTTAAGTTCTGGGATACATGTGCAGAACGTGCAGGTGTGTTACATAGATATACACGTGCCATGGTGGTTTGCTGCACCCACTAACCTGTTATCGACATTAGGTATTTCTCCTAATGCTATCACCCCCTATTTCCCCACCCCCCGAGAGGCCCCAGTGTGTGATGTTCTCCTCCCTGTGTCCATGTGTTCTCATTGTTCATCTCCCACTTATGGTATCTACCATAACCTTGAAATTGTCTTATGCATTCACTTGTTTGGTTGTTATATAGCCTCCATCAGGACAGGGATATTTGCTGCTGCTTCTTTTTTTTTTCTTTTTGAGACAGTCTTGCTCCGTCATCCAGGCTGGAGTGCTTCTCGGCTCAATGCAACCTCCACCTCCCAGGTTTAAGCGATTCTCCAACTTCAGCCTCCCAAATGGCTGGGACTGCAGGCATGCACCACTACACCTGGCTAATTTTTGTATTTGTAATAGAGACAATGTTTCACCATGTTGGCCAGGCTGGTCTCGAACTCCTGACCTCAGGAGATCTGCCCATGTTGGCCTTCCAAAGTGCTGGGATTACAGGCCTGAGCCACAGCGCCCGGCATGATTTTTGCTTCTTTTATTCAGTGGTATTTGCCTTATAGAAGGTGCTCAATAAATATTTGCATAAAAGAATTTTTTATTTTGAAACTACTTTGGTTATGACGCTTGTTAAAAAGAATAAAAGCAATTAATGGTAATGAAAATTACTAATCCTGGAAATTTATAATTTAAACTAGTTAATGTGGATACAGATCTTGCACGTAATAGGTATTTTATAGAAAAAAGTCAGTGACTATACATGTAAGAATTATGCCTTTAATTCTATTTTTCTTCTTTTGTCTGGCTGCATGATTATGAGGTGATCATGTGAGACTATGGAAGAAAATTAATGAGAAAAACACATAGTAGAACAGCAGAGTTGACATTGATAATAGGGGATATGAGTGAGTGGGTAGATGCATATTTATAGACATATTTCCTTCCATTAAGGAAAATGGAGTGAAAATTTTCTTACATTTTTGCCTGCCTTTTGTCATGGTACTTGCAGAAGTAGCAATTGTTTGATTGTTTTAGGACTTCAAATATTTATATGTATAAAGAGTTATTTATTTTGTGAAATGCTTCAAACATATAGAAAGGTTAAGACAATATAGTGAGTACAGAGGTGTATAATACCCATATTGCAAATAAATATAATGAATATCCATGGCCGGGCGTGGTGGCTCATGCCTGTGTAATCCCAGCACTTTGGGAAGCTGAGGTGGGCAGATCACGAGGTCAGGAGATGGAGACCATCCTGGCTAACACGGTGAAAACCTGTCTCTACTAAAAAATACCAAAAATCAGCCGGGCGTGGTGGTGGGCGCCTATAGTCCCAGCTACCCGGGAGGCTGAGGCAGGGGAATGGCGTGAACCTGGGAGGCAGAGCTTGCAGTGAGCCGAGATCGCACCACTGCACTCCAGCCTGGGCGACAGAGCGAGACTCCATCTCTAAATAAATGAATGAATGAATGAATGAATATCCATGTACCAACCACCCATGTTTAACAATATCATAATTTTACTTTGTGATTCAGTTTTTAAAACAGAAGTATAACGTTTCAGTTCAAACTGAAAATCTCATTTAACCTTCTCCAAACATAAGTTTACTTTCCGTGAGAGTGCAAAATAAGCCTTGTGATACTGGTACATGAGTTTAAATAATTTCAAAGAAGTTTTAAAATGTTTAGGAATGATTAATTCAATTTGTTTTTCAAAAAGAAACTGTTTGAAAATAGAAAATGTACTGTTTGCCAGCTGAACACTTTGCAATTTTGTACTGTGGGAAATTTGTCTGGTGCCTGTGCTCCTTCTATTTATATATATTGTTTCATTGTGCAGCATTCTGTACAAAGAATTTCAGTGCCAAATTATTTACATTGGTTACCTTGGGTGGAGAACGTTGGATCATGGCATAATTATATATTCTAAATTATTTTGGTAATATTTAAAATAATCTATTATAAGGAAACATTATTTTAGAATAATAAAAAAGGTAAATGTTAAACATAGGTACTTTTAAATTATCTTGTAAAATATGGTATCAAACACAACATCTTTTCACAATAGATGCAATGCAAAAAAGCATTTGCATATTGTGTATATATATGTATATCTCATATATATACAAATCTCTCTCATTCACATGCATACATGTACATGTATATATCACCAGTCAAATATGTACGTTACTTACTCATATTGCTTTTTCAAGTATCTTCATAAAATTTCTAAGGAAACCATGTTTTCCCTGTTAAATCATGCTATTTGTGATCATTTGAGGGAGTGCTATTATTTTTTATTTACTTTGTTAACAGAGAATATCCTATTTCTAACTCAGCATTGTTAACAATTTGTATTTTAAAATATTTGAATGTCACCTGGGAGGGGGGAGTAATGCTTTGCTAATTTTAAAAATTAGCAATGTGTTCATAATTTAGCAATCCTACTCTGGGCTGTATATCTTAAAATTGATTATGAGCCATCAATAGAGAAAATAACTCTCATAACTGATTTATGATATCTAACATGTTTTATTCCCAGAAACAGAAAACCATGTATAATCTAAGAAAAAACAAATTTTGTGAAAGCTTGTTAAAAAAACACATAAAACTTGCTTTTTCTTAAATTATACATGGTTTTCTATTTCTGGGGATAATCAAAATTTAAGTAAATCAAAGGCAAAGAATAACAATTACCATTAGAAGAAACACAAAACTATATTTTGATTTTTACTTTATATATTCCTTAATATAGGGTACTTTAGTCCCTGAGGAGACATATATATATAATTTTTTTTTTTTGAGACAGAGTCTCACTCTGTCACCCAGGTTGGAGTGCAATGGCGCGATCTCGGCTCACTGCAACCTCAGCCTCCTGGATTCAAGTGATTTTTTTGCCTCAGCCTCCTGAGTAACTGGGATTACAGGTGTACACCACCATGCCCAGCTAATTTTTGTATTTTAAGTAGAGATGGGGTTTCACTATGTTGGTCAGGCTTGTCTCAAACTCCTGACCTTGTGATCCACTCACCTCAGCCTCCCAATGTGCTGGGATTACAGGCA
Source organism: Homo sapiens (assembly GCF_000001405.40). Taxonomy (NCBI): domain Eukaryota; kingdom Metazoa; phylum Chordata; class Mammalia; order Primates; family Hominidae; genus Homo; species Homo sapiens. Next base: position 83,135,836 of record NC_000007.14, on the reverse strand, counting down.
TGAGCCACCACGCCTGGCAATTAATTATATTTTAATATCAATTTATTAAAATAATTTTCTCTATATTTTCTGCTTTGAATGATGAGAGACATAGTTTCAAATGGCAGTATGCATGTTTTGAAAACATTTTTGTGTTTTTACAGTATTGTCTCGGTGACCATTGTTTTATATTATTTGTAGGTAAAAGAGTGGCTCTGTTTGAACTGTCAAATGAAAAGAGCTCTAGGCGGGGATCTGGCTCCAGTTCCGTCATCACCCCAGCCCAAACTGAAGACTGCACCTGTTACCACTACATCAGCAGTGAGCAAATCATCCCCACAGCCACAGCAGACTTCCCCAAAGAAGGATGCTGCACCAAAACAGGATCTCTCCAAGGCACCTGAGCCTAAAAAGCCACCACCACTAGTGAAACAACCAACCCTTCATGGCTCTCCTTCAGCCAAGGCCAAGCAGCCCCCTGAGGCAGATTCTTTGTCCAAGCCAGCCCCTCCCAAAGAACCTTCTGTCCCATCTGAGCAGGACAAGGCCCCTGTTGCTGATGATAAACCAAAGCAGCCCAAGATGGTAAAGCCAACCACTGACCTTGTATCTTCATCATCAGCAACAACAAAACCTGATATTCCAAGCTCCAAAGTACAGTCACAAGCTGAAGAGAAAACAACCCCTCCTCTAAAAACAGACTCTGCCAAACCCTCACAGAGTTTTCCACCAACAGGGGAAAAAGTCAGCCCATTTGATTCTAAAGCCATACCTCGACCTGCATCAGATTCAAAAATTATTTCACATCCTGGTCCCAGTTCAGAGAGCAAAGGTCAAAAACAAGTTGACCCCGTACAAAAGAAGGAAGAACCCAAGAAAGCACAAACCAAAATGAGTCCTAAACCAGATGCCAAGCCAATGCCAAAAGGGTCACCAACACCCCCTGGCCCACGACCTACCGCTGGCCAAACTGTCCCCACACCTCAACAGTCCCCAAAGCCTCAGGAGCAGTCAAGGCGTTTCAGTCTGAATCTGGGAAGTATTACTGATGCCCCCAAATCACAGCCTACAACTCCTCAAGAGACCGTGACTGGGAAACTCTTTGGGTTTGGAGCATCAATCTTCAGCCAGGCATCAAATTTAATTTCCACTGCAGGCCAACCTGGACCTCATTCACAAAGTGGACCAGGGGCCCCAATGAAACAAGCCCCTGCCCCTTCACAGCCACCTACTTCACAAGGGCCACCCAAATCCACAGGTCAAGCACCACCAGCACCTGCAAAAAGTATACCTGTGAAAAAGGAAACAAAAGCCCCAGCAGCTGAAAAATTAGAGCCCAAAGCTGAACAAGCTCCAACAGTAAAAAGAACAGAAACAGAAAAAAAGCCACCACCTATTAAGGATAGCAAATCTTTAACAGCTGAGCCTCAAAAGGCTGTCCTTCCCACAAAACTGGAGAAATCGCCCAAACCAGAATCAACCTGTCCTCTCTGCAAAACTGAACTCAACATAGGTTCTAAGGATCCTCCTAACTTCAATACTTGCACTGAATGCAAGAATCAAGTGTGTAATCTCTGTGGATTTAACCCTACACCACATTTGACTGAGGTAAGTTATATATATATATATATATATATATTACATATGGAGGTGAGTCTGTGGGTTTATTTTGAAACATTTGGGTGGCCAAATATCTGAGCAAAAAATACATTTGTGGTGAAGAAAATAAATTGATAATCTTAGAAGTTTCAATTACTTATTACCAGCTTACCTTCTTACTAAGAGTTCATGTTATTTGTACTTTCCTGGGTTAATGTTCCACAAGTAAGAAGATGAAATAAGTTAAATGAACATCTTAATTATTAAATTAATATAACAATGAGCCAATCATTCATGAAATAAAGAAAAAAATAATAGCTTTTGAGGACTATTTTCACGTGTAAACTCCAGATAAAAGGTTTTAATATTTTCACATGTAAACTCCAGATAAAAGGTTTTAATATTTTATTCCCATCTCTAATCCTTCCAGTCTCTGTAATACATTAATAAAAGAAGTTTGTTTGGTTGAATATGCATAAACACCATAAAATCTACTATGTTAAGAACAGTTAAAAACTGTTAAGAACTTTGTGTAAGTTAAAAATTTTGCCTATTAGAAAATAGTGGTTCAAATATATTATATTTAGGCTTTTTATAATTCTGTTTGAAATATTATTGGGCATCTGTATGATATGGCACTTTACTAGGAGCTGTGGAAAGAAAGAAAGATATATGAATTTCTATAACTAACATGAAGGGTTTTTTAAAGGGATGATAAGAATACTTTTTCTGCAATGTAAATGACTAAAAAGCAGACGACGAATTTCTAATATAGTTATAAAAGAATGAATTTATTAACATTAATAGCATGTTAGGGCTATTAGAATATTTAAATCATGGGAGACTAGAGGGTTAAACAATTACTGCTGTCTTAAATAAGTAACAACAATGTTTTAATAAACAGTCTGGGAATTAATCTGAATAATTGTTCCAAGGTTTCATACAAACCAAAAATACTTAAGAATAATTTCACTCCAATGTCCTTGATTTTGTTATTCATTATGATGAAAAAATTGAATAGATTTTAGCATTTATATAAAATAAGCTTTAGAGTTTGTTTTTGGTGGTGTTCTTGAGTTAAATATTTTTTTAAAAAATAAACCATAGAAAAATTTCATTTTACTTTAAAAAGACATTTGTTTGCTTTGATCTAATTAACACTGTATGAAAATGTTGTTGCTACAAGTTTAAGCAGATTTTTTTTCCTCTTTAGCTGTGATGAATAATTTTAACTAAGAGTCATCTTAAAGGGACATAAATTTTGGTTTCTCTTAGGACTTCATGAGTGGTAACAACTGTCATTATTAGTTACAGTGTTTTGGATTCAATGTAAAAGTAAAACCAAAAACAAACCTTAAAAAAAACACTTTTAGAAGAGCAGTTTTTGGTTGTCAATTCATGAGAGAAAATTTTTCCCCAATACAATTGTATTTATTTTATATATTAAACAAAATTGTACCTTGTAAGGAGGATCCTTATAGTATCAACACAATGAAGTTATGAAGCAAACTGCATTTCTAAAAACAAAACTATACTTTTTGCATTTAAAGTATATTTTTACACACTTAAAAATGGGTGTGTAGTATGAGTTGAGCACTATAACTTAAAATTTTACATATATGTGTATGGATATGCATACATATGTATGTGTGCATCTGAATTATAGTAATTATTAGAATTCTGTCAATATTTGGAAGTCTAATGAGAGTTCCTTGGGTAGAAAGACAATACACCTTTCAGGGAAGTCTTTGATTTTCTGTGTGTTGGCAAATTATATTTTGAAAGTGGTAATTTGGAAAGGAGATTTCTTGAATGAAGCAGAGAATTACAAAGGACATGTGTGGAATTTCAGTACTTTGAATAGTTTGAAAATCTAAATTGTCTCAAGTATTTAGACAGGTTAGATGAGGTCATACTTCAAATGTGAGTGATCGTATTAGATAATCATTCATTGTTCAAATTATTTTGCTCTGTGGCAGTTTCTTTGAATTTGGAAGATTAGGTTTCAGAAGGGAAGAAGATCTAACAAAAGCAACTAGTATTCCTGGCTTACCTTGACTATGCTAATGTACATGAAGTTTTCAGTTAGTATAAGATCTTGGTGACCTCTGGTTTCTAGGTAAAGTTCACTTGGCATCAGGGGAATGAATAAAGGTTAGCTGAGTTATTACATGTTCAGGTAGTCTCTATCATTACTCCATAGGACTTTGGAAAAATGGCAAAAGGAGTTAGTTGAAAAGAATGGCATGTGTTTGCATATGTGTGTATATATGCATATATATACCTTTGTACACATATACATATATAAACATATATACATATACCCTTATGTATAGATGTATATGTATCCAGCAAACTGTAAATACTATTAACAGGTGTAATTCATGGTACAATGTCAGTGTTCCTACTAATAAATCTTTCTTCATTTCTCTCAGGAGTTAGGAAAGCATCTCCTCCCAGATCTTTGTTGTGTGTCTATGTTTTCCTTATTCTGCTTGTAATATGTTTCTTGTGACCTAATATTTTCTGCTTGGCTGGTTAGTACCGTACTTCCATGCCAGTCTCAGAGGGGACATTCTGAAAATACTCAGATTTTAGGCCTGAAGTCCAAATAAATGGTATTCCCTCAAGAAAAGATTCAATAATTTCATTTATTTTCTTATGAAGTATGTCCAACTCTCTAATACAAGCTTCTGCTTCTCCTATACTGGTTGCTGTGAGACAGGACATTTTTCCTGCTGGTGCCACCCTGGCCCCCTCTCCCTTTGGCTATTCTGTTTCTCCGGTTGTGAGAAGAGCTCGTCATATTTTGTCATTGGTTGGGAAGCTGTAGATGGTTTCCCTCTTTCTCCTTCATTAATCAAACACACCTGTCGCTAAGGTTGTTTCCTGTCTCATACATAACACCTCCCACTGTACCTGAGGAGTGCCAACGGCTGCCTGCAGGCCCTGGGGTGCAGCCAGACCTCAACCTAAGCCTTACTGTTTAACTGATTGATGCCCAGTTTGTATAAATGGCAATATGATCCGTTAACCTCTGACAGCAAGAGACAATTCTTTTAGGCTTTAATTTCTGCCAAGTCAGAAAATACCTTGTATTGGAAAGAGTTTTAAAAATGGCAGTTGAGCTTTCTTAAAAAGCTGGTCTTACAGAATTTGGAAGCATACTGAGAAAAACAGCCTAATCAGTTTACCTAGTGAATTTTTTGTCATTCTGGTAATCAAATTCAAAATGAGTCAGAATTACTCATAATGGATATTTATTTTATTGTTGATAGCACCCTTTTCTAAGCTAACTTTTTTACTATGAAAATAATATTTAAAAGTAAATATGTTTCCTCATGTTTCAGGAAGTCCTGGAGTCATAATTTTGCTTCCTTAGCAAGATGATTGTGCATGGCCTAAATAATGTAGGAATTGCTAGGAGATATTTGTCACTATGCAACAAATGAGTCTTTTAAGATAAGACCCAGTGATGTAACTGAGATTTTTTGAGATCTTTACTCTGTCTGCCTGGGTGGCTTCCACATTTTCCATTAAATACTCAAAAATGGCCTAGTGGAGATATCCTGCATTTTTTAGTTTGCAAACACATATCTTCCTTTTACTTTAATGGCCATTACTTAATACATTAAAAAGCATATATATTCAGTACTCAAAAGCATTTACATACACACACACAAAAGAAATTAAAGGCTAAAAGAATTATCAATAAGAAGAAATCAATAAGGATAAAAGAATTCTACCATTAATTAGTTTCAAAAGAATTACATAATGGAGACTGGTCAGCACAGTGGCTCATGCCTGTAATGCCAGCACTCTGGGAGGCCGAAGTGGGCAGATCACTTGAGGTCAGGAGTTTGAGACCAGCCTGGCCAACACGGCAAAATCCTGTCTCTACTAGAAATATGAGAAAGCCGGCATGGTGGTTCATGCCTGTAGTCCTAGCTACTCAGGAAGCTGAGGAAGGAGAATTGCTTAAACCTGGGAGACAGAGGTTGCAGTGAACTAAGTTTTCCCTACTACACTCCAGCGTGGACAACACAGAGAGACTTCGTCTCAAATAATAATAATGGGAGACTTCGTCTCAAATAATAACAACAACAACAACAACAACAACAACAACAAAAACATAATGGACATCTACATTAATTAAAAATTTCTGGCACCCATGGCAAAGAATACACCTGATAGCAGTTTTAAAGTCGGTATAAAAAGTTTATAAGCTGGACATTAAAAAAAAAAAATTAGGAAATAAATTTAAGTCAATAATTTTTAAGATAAATTTGATGTACTTTTTATTGAGCAATATTTAGTTAAAATATTCAATGAGCAATTAAAAATAAAGCTGTATTTTTGTTTAAATAAATTTAAGCCAAAAGTAATTTTCTTCTTAGTTCCCATTTTTCTATGCATTTTTACGTAGTTAATGTTCTACTCTGTATAGTAGTTCTGTATCTGAGTAAACATATAACATTTCTCCATATAATTAAACACCCAAAGTAACATTTTAAATAATTATTACCTAATTCTATGGATGTATGTTTTTGTTATACACATTTTTCTTATACTCAGGATTTAGGCTGTTGTCATTTTTAATGAATTTTCTGGACAAAAATGTTAGTATTTTTAACTATTTCCCAAGGAAAACTTGTACTACGGTTGCTACATCAAGGGATGAGGACCTTGGAATAACAAATTCTCTTTGGAAATGTGATAGCAGTCAACACTGCCACCACTAGTGTATGTGATTTCTTTCTCACTATAGCCTTCCAAACTTGAATAATATCTAAAATAATATTTAATTTGGAAGTCTAAAAGTGCTGTAATATTGTTCCTTTGCCTTATATTTTTGATTACCATGTGTTTTTATTTTAGATATTAAACGTAAATAGATGATTTTAATTATGATCCAGAAAAAAAAACTGTGCGATGTTTGAAAGGTAAATTGATATCAATTACTGCTTAAAAAAATTATAATAGGGCAGCTATTTTGACTTGGCCTATGTGAGGCAATTGTGCCAAGCACTTTTCTCACCACAACCCTGTGGGATAGGTTTTATTGTATTTTAGAGATTAGGAGAATGAGTATCTGAGAGGTGTAGCTATCAAGCCACAAAGGTATAGTTCAGAGGTTAAGCCAGTGGTCTCTTTACTATATTGTTTAGAAAACCTAAGGTACTAGATAATAATGCCACTTGTTCAGTGCTCTCTTAAAGTTGCATCAGTTGGTAATTGCTAGGATTTTAATACCAACAAATTTGTAAATATATGCATAACATCCAGGTAACATTTGGGGCCCTTGGAATAATGATGGCTGTTACATGGTTGAATTTAGAAGAATGAAGCAGATTCAGGGGTTCAGAGAAGCATAGAAGCTGGAATCATTGTGCAATTGTTTTTTCCAGCTAAGTCTACAAACTGGCCACCATTCCTAGGTGAAAGTATATGGTTCAATGTTCAAATGATTTATCTGCCTTTCTAGTGAGTATGAGTGTGTAAAACATAGTTGTTCCAGTTGCAAGAAATACTGTTATATTCTTTCCAATGCATGCAAAGACTTTACTCCATGAAAATGATAACTATCTCAGTGTTTCATTGGTCGTGGTGGTGAAGTCTTTGCTTCTATCTTTTCTGTATAGTCTTTTTTTTGTTACATTCCCAGAAATTGAATTATTGGGCCATAGGTTATGCACATTCTAACTTTGTTTTCCACAGTGGTTGTATCAATTAATAGTCTAACGAAGTTTGCATGTATGCTACTGTTTTTCTGGAGATGATCTGAAATAATAGTCACTGGTCACGTGTGCTGATGAACGCTGTGCTAACTCAAATTAGGATGTTCTTGAAGTGTAAAATACAAATTTGATTTCAAAAACTTAGTATGAAAAAAGTTAAATATCGCAAAAACAATTTTTGTTGATTATATATAGAAATGACATTTTAGAATATTGGGTTAGTATTGTTCTTATATTATGACTTGTTCATTTTTTCTGGTTACACTCTCCCACCTTATCTTTTGCACAAGCCATTTCGTTTTACATCCCCGGTCTTGGGCTTTATCCCTGTCTCGATGGTTTGATTGTTGGCTCTTTTGGATAGTAATTGATATTTCTAAAATGTATAAAAGATGTAAGGCTTCCTTTGGCTCCTTCTGAATTCATTCAAGTGCAATTAATATTGGGTAAGGCTTTTGTTCCTCAAATATTGTTGTTACTATTGCCTTTTTATCTTTTAACTTTGATATTGCATATGCATACAGTGTAGCATAGCATATTTGTGTGATTATTTTTTATATGGTCTACAGAGAAGATAGATCTCAAGGCTATCATTGTCAAGAGATACACTGCTGATGCCTGGTGTGGCCTAATGATCAAAGTACTTAGGTCCTGCTAATCATTAGTAAGCAATATCCACATTACCTACTAGCATACTGTGGCTTTATCAAACTTTAGGTCAGAACATCCTATATTTTCTGCTGACCTCTCTGGTTCCAAATGATTCCTCTGTTCTTTTCAGAACTCTTGAGTCTGTTTATACTATCTCTGTGGCTTTAGGGGAAATGTTCAGCTGTTGAAGTAATTGCTACCAGAAGACTGAGAAATGCAGAATATTACAAATGGAATATATCACCATGTCCAGTATTTTCTTCCTTTCATTTTTTGATGGTCATTCATTTTACTTTTAAAATTCTATTTCAATAATTTTAATTCCAAAAGTAGTATTCTTTCTTATTACAATCCACAGAGTAGTGAAATATCTGAAGGAAAATGAATGGGTTCCTCTTCCCTCTGCATGCCTGAAAGTGATATCTTATCTATTTAAACATACCTTCTAATGATTTTTGCTTGTTTTTATAATGGTTATATACACATAGTGACTGACATGTGGAAGGATTTGACATTTTTAAAACTTTATTGGGATAGTTATGTTTTTGAAAATTATTTATTTTGAAACAAATATGTGAACTTACACATATTTTCATTGATTTTTTTTCACTAAACATTATACATTAGTCATTCTCAAGTGAACACTCACCGACTTACCTCATTGTATTTATAAGGTATCGTTGTATTTATAAGGTGAATAGATGTACAATATCTCACAGTACTTACAGACATTCTCCTCTTGAAAACTAACAAATTGGGAGTGTTTCTAGCTCTTGTTACTTTATAAACAAAGCGGTAGTAAAATGTTTGTACATATAATTTACATTGTATTTTTAAGTATATAAATTCATTGAAATGGATGTATTCAGGTAAATGGGTTTTAAAATTTCATGGAAACTTCCATATTACTTTGTTAAATATTGATAATAATTATAGTCCTGCCAACAATGTATCTCTTTTTTCCTACATTAACTAGTATATAATATTTATCAATTTCATGAGCCAGAAATTATATTGCATTGTTGCATAAATTTAACTTTCCCTGCCTATTTTGAGGGTAAACATCATATAAGTTTTTATCAACATCACGAGTTTATTAATCAGTTATATTTCTCCTCTTAAAAATTTCCTTTTTATACCTGTTGGTGATTTTGGGGGAGGGAGTGTCTGTATATTATGTTTTAGATAATTTAAATCTTTATCAATTTATCTATCTGGAAATGATTTTCCCTTATCTGTCACTCATTTTTAAATTTCTTTATGAGATTCATTCTTATATGAATTTTTTTATTTTTATGCAATCAAGTATTTTAATTTTTCTTTATGATTACTTTTACATTTTTAATTTTATGAGTACATAGTACGTGTATATATTTATGGGGTACATGTGATATTTTGATATAGGCATACAATATATAATAATCACATCAGGATAACTGGGTTGTCTGTCAGCTCAAGCATTTCTCATTTATTTGTGTTAGGAACATTCCAATGTCACTCTTTTAGTAATTTTGAAATATATAATTAATTATAGTTGACTGTAGTCACCCTGTTTTGCTATCAGATACTAAATCTGATTCATTCTATCTGTATTTTTGTACTCATTAACTATCCCCACAGCCCTGCTCCACCCACTATCCTTCCCAGCCTGTGGTAACCATCATTCTACTGTCTATCGCCATGAGTTCAATTGTTTTAATTTTTAGTTCCCACATATGAGTGAGAATATAAGAAATTTGTCTTTCCGTGACTGGCTTATTTTGCTTAATGTCTTCCAGTTCTATCCATGTTGTTGTAAGTGACAGAATTTCATTCTTTTTTTATAGATGGATAATATTCCATGCTATATATGTACCACATTTTCTTTATCCATTCATCTGTTGATGGACATTTAGGTTGATTCCAAATATTGGCTATTGTGAATAGTGCTGCAGTAAACATGGGAGTGCATATATGTCTTTTATTTTTTTTTAATTTTTTTAGTATTTATTGATCATTCTTGGGTGTTTCTCGGAGAGGGGGATTTGGCAGGGTCATAGGACAATAGTGGAGAGAAGGTCAGCAGATAAACATGTGAACAAAGGTCTCTGGTTTTCCTAGGCAGAGGACCCTGCGACCTTCCGCAGTGTTTGTGTCCCTGGGTACTTGAGATTAGGGCGTGGCGATGACTCTTAAGGAGCATGCTGCCTTCAAGCATCTGTTTAACAAAGCACATCTTGCACCGCCCTTAATCCATTTAACCCTGAGTTGACACAGCACATGTTTCAGAGAGCAGGGGGTTGGGGGTAAGGTTATAGATTAACAGCATCCCAAGGCAGAAGAATTTTTCTTAGTACAGAACAAAATGGAGTCTCCTATGTCTACTTCTTTCTACACAGACACAGTAACAGTCTGATCTCTCTTTTCCCCACATCTCCCCCTTTTCTATTCGACAAAACCACCATCGTCATCATGGCCCGTTCTCAATGAGCTGTTGGGTCCACCTCCCAGATGGGGTGGTGGCCGGGCAGAGCAGCCCCCCACTTCCCAGATGGGGCGGCTGCCGGGCGGGGGTGCCCCCCACCTTCCAGAGGGGGCGGCGGCCGGGCGGAGGGGCTCCCCACTTCTCAGATGGGGTGGCGGCCGGGCAGAGGCACTCCTCACATCCCAGACAATGGGCGGCCGGGCAGAGAGGCTCCTCACTTCCTAGACGGGGTGGCGGCCGGGCAGAGGCTGCAATCTCAGCACTTTGGGAGGCCAAGGCAGGCGGCTGGGAGGTGGAGGTTGTAGCGAGCCGAGATCACGCCACTGCACTCCAGCCTGGGCAACATTGAGCACTGAGTAAGCGAGACTCCGTCTGTAATCCCAGCACCTCGGGAGGCCAAGGCGGGCAGATCACTCGAGGTCAGGAGCTGGAGACCAGCCCGGCCAACACGGCGAAACCGCGTCTCCACCAAAAAATGCAAAAACCAGTCAGGCGTGGCGGCGTGCGCCTGCAATCCCAGGCACTCGGCAGGCTGAGGCAGGAGAATCAGGCAGGGAGGTTGCAGTGAGCCGAGATCGCAGCAGTACAGTCCAGCCTCAGCAACAGAGGGAGACCCTGGAAAGCGGGAGAGGGAGACGAGGGAGAGGGGGAGACCGTGGAAAGCGGGAGATGGAGACGACGGAGAGGGAGAGGGAGAGCATATATGTCTTTTATACACATATTCCCTTTCTTTTGGATGTATACGTAGCAGTGGTATTGCTGGATCGTATAGTAGTTCTACATTTAGCTTTTTAAGAAACTTCCATACTATTCTCCATAGTGGCTGTACTAACTTAACATTCCCATCAACAATGTGTGAGGGCTCACCTTTCTCCAGATCCTCACCTACATTTATTTTTGCCTGTCTTTTGGATAAAAGCCATTCTAAATGGAGTGAGAGAATGTATTGTAGTTTTGACTTGCATTTCTCTGATAACTAATGATGTTGAGCAGGTTTTCATATGCCTGTTGGACATTTGTATGTTTACTTTCTCTTTTTTTTTTTTTTTTTTGAGACGGAGTCTCGCTCTTCCGCCCAGGCTGGAGTACAGTGGTGCTATCTCGGCTCACTGCAAGCTCAGAGTGCAGTGGCGCTATCTCGGCTCACTGCAAGCTCCGCCTTCCTGGTTCACGCCATTCTCCTGCCTCAGCCTTCCGAGTAGCTGGGACTACAGGCGCCCGCCACTGCACCCGGCTAATTTTTTTTTTTTTGTATTTTTTGTAGAGACAGGGTTTCACCATGTTAGCCAGGATGGTCTCGATTTCCTGACCTCATGATCCGCCCGCCTCCCAAAGTACTGAAGTACTGAGATTACAGGTGTGAGCCACTGTGCCTGGGCCATTTGTATGTTTTCTTTGGAGAGATGCTTATTCAGACCTTTTGCCTTTTTTTTTTTTTTTTTTTTTTTTGAGACAGAGTTTCTCTCTTGTATTTTTAGTAGAGACAGGGTTTCACCATGTTGGCCAGACTGATCTCAAACTCCTGACCTCAGGTGATCCACTGGCCTCGGACTCCAAAAGTGCTGGGATCACAGGCGTGAGCCACTGCGCCTGACCCTTTTGCCTATTTCTTAACAGATTTTAGATTTTTTTCTATGGATTTGTTTCAGCTCTGTGTATATTCTGGAAATTAATCCCTTGTCAGATAGATAGTTTGCAAAATTTTCTCCCATTATATGGGTTGTCCCTTCACTTTGTTCTTTCCTTTGCTGTGAAGAAGTTTTTTAACTTGATATGATCCCATTTTTCAACTTTTGCTTTTGTTGCCTGTGCTTTTGAGGTATTGCTCAAGAAATCTTTGCCCAGACCAATGTTCTGGAGAGTTTCCCTAATGCTTTCTTCTGGTAGATTCATAGTTTCAGATCTTAGATTTAATTCTTTAATCAATTTTATTTCATTTTTGTATATGGTAAGAAACAGGGATCTAGTTTCCTTCTACTGCATTTGGATATGCAATTTTCCCAGGACCATTTATTGAAGAGAATACACTTTCCCCAAGGTATAGTTTCTTGGCATCTTTGTTGAAAATGAGTTCACTGTAGATGTATGAACTTATTTCTGAGTCCTTTATTCTGTTCCATTGGTCCACGGGTCTACTTTTATGCCAGTGCCATGCTGTTTTGGTTACTACAGCACTGTAGTATAATTTAAAGTCAGGTAATGTGAGTCTTCCAGTTTTATTCCTTTTGCTCAGGATGGCTTTGGCTATTCTTGGTCTTTTGTGGTTCTATATAAATTTTTTTTCTATTTCTGTGAAGAAAGTTACTAGTATTTTGATAGAGATTGCATTGTATCTGTAGATTGCTTTGGGTAGTATGGACATTTTAACAATATTAATTCTTCTAATCCATAAACATGAACTATCTTTCCTTTTTTGTGTCCTTTCCAATTTGTTGCATCAATGTTTTATAGTTTTTATTGTAGAGAACTTTCACTTCCTTGGTTAAGTTTATGTCTAAGTATTTAATTTAATTTGTAGCAATTGTAAAAAAAGTTACTTTCTTATTTTGTGAGGTTGTTCGCTGTTGGCATATAGAAATGCTACTGGTTTTTGTATTTTGATTTTGTATTCTACAAATTTACTGACATTGTCAATTCTAATTGTTTTTCTGGTGGAGTCTTTAAGTTTTTCAAAATATAAGATTATATTATTTAAAGACATGGATAATTAGACTTCTTTTCTTCCAATGTGTATGCCCTTCCTTTCTTTCTTTTGTCTAATTGCTATAGCTAGGACTTCCAGTACTACGTTGAATAACAGTGGTGAAAGTGGGCATCCTAGGCCAGGCGCAGTGGCTCACCACTGTAATCCCAGCACTTTGGGAGGCCCAGGTGGGTGGATCACCTGAGGTCAGCAGTTCGAGACCAACCTAGCCAACATGGTGAAACACTCTCTCTACTAAAAATACAAAAATTAGCTGGGCGTGGTGGTGGACGTCTGTAATCCCAGGTACTTGGGAGGCTGAGGCTGGAGAATCACTTGAACCTGGGAGTCAGAGGTTGCAGTGAACCGAGATTGCACCACTGCACTCCTGCCTGGGCAATAGAGCAAAACACCATAAAAAAAAAAAAAAAAAAAAGAAAAGAAAAGAAAGAAAGAAGGAAAGAGTGCATCCTTGTCTTATTATAGATATTAGAGGAAAGGATTTTAATTTTTTTCATTCAGTACATCAGCTGTGGGTCTGTTTTATATGGCTTTTATTGTGTCGTGGTGTGTTCCTTCTATCCCCAGTTTTGCAATGGTTTTTGTCATGAGGTATCTTGAATTTTATCAAATGCTTTTTTCAGTATCAGTTAAAAGGATCATATGGTTTTGTCTTTCTTTCTGTTGATATGATGTATCACATTAATTGACTAGTGTATGTTGAACCATCCTTGCATTCTTGGGATAAATCTCACTTGGTCATGATGGATGATTTTTTTAATGTGTTGTTGGAATTTGGTTTACTAGTATTTTGTTGGGGATTTTTGCATAAATGTTTATCAGAGATATTAGGCTATAGTTTTATTTTGTTGTTGTGTCTTTGGTTTTGGTGTCAGGGCTATAGCCTCTCACTTAATTGAATCGTTTATCATTATATTATTACCTTCTTTGATTCTTTTCATACTTTTCTCCTTGAAATCTATAACATTTGTCTAAGTATAGCAATCCATGCTTTTTTTTGTTTTCATTTGCATGAAATATCTTTTTCCATCCATTTATTTTCAGTCTATGTGTGTCTTTATAGGTGAAGTGAGTTTCTTATAGGCAGAATTTTTTTGGGTCTTGCTTTTTAATCCATTCAGCCACTCTGTCTTTGATTGGAGAGTTCAGTCCATTTACATTCAGTGTTATAATTTATAAATAAGGATTTACTACTGTTATTTTAAAATTTGTTTTCTAATTGTTTTTTGGTTTTCTCTTCTTTCTTTTCTGTCTTCTTAGGTGTAAAAGTGATTTTTTCTGGTGGTATGTTTTAATTTCTTGCTTTTATTTTTTGTTTATCTGTTATTGGTTTTTGATTTGAGGTTACCATGAGACTTACAAATAACCTTCTATTACCGATTATTTTAAATTTTTGACAACTCTGGTTGCAGTAGCAACAACAAACAAACAAGCAAATGGAAAACTAATAAAAACTCTGTGCCTCAACTTCTTCCACTCCCTCCCCAGTTTTTAACTTATTGTTTCTATTTATATCTTTTTATACTGTGTATCTTTACAAAAGTTTTTTGTTTGTTTGTTTGTTTGTTTGTTTTTGTATTTTTAGTAGAGATGGGTTTCACCTTGTTAGCCAGGATGGTCTCAATCTCCTGACCTCGTGATCTGCCCACCTCGGCCTCCCAAAGTGCTGGGATACAAAAGTTTTTATAGTTACTTTTGTTAAGTTTATTTTTCTACTCAAGTTATAAGTAGTTTACATACCACAATTACAGTGTTACAATATTCTGTATATATTTTTGTTATCATTGTTACTAGCAAGTTTTGTGCCTTCAGACAATTTCTTATTGCTTGTTAACATTCTTTTCTTTCAGATTGATGAACTCCTTTTAGGATTTCTTATAAGACAGGTCTGGTATGGATGAAATCCCTCAGCTTTTGCTTGTCTGGGAATCTTCATTTCTCCTTCATGTTTGAAGGTCATTTTTGCTGGATATAATATTCTACAATAAAAGTTTTCTCAGTGCTTTAAATATGTCATGCTACTCTCTCCTGGCCTTTAAGGTTTCCACTAAAAAGTCTGCTGCCAGATGTATTGGAGCTCATGTTTATGTTATTTTCTTCTTTTTTCTTGCTGTTTTTTGGATCTTTTGTGTATCTTTTAATTTTAGAAATTTGATTTTTAAATGTCTTGAGATAGTCTTATTTGGGTTAAATCTGCTGGTGCTCTATGACCTGCTTGTACTTGAATATTGGTAACTTTCTCTAGGTTTGGACTATTCTCTATTATTTCCTTGAATAAACTTTTTTTTTTTTTTTTTTTCTGAGGCAGAGTCTCACTCCAACACCCAAGCTGGAGTGCAGTGACATGATCTTGGCTCCCTCAACCTCTGCCTCCCAGGTTCAAGCAATTCTTGTGCCTCAGCCTCTTGAGTAGCTGGAATTACAGGTGCGTGCCATCACACCTGGCTACTTTTTGTATTTTTAGTAGAGATTAGGATTTGCTATGTTGGCCAGGCTGGTCTCGAACTCCTGACTTCAAGAGATCTGCCACCTTGGCCTCCCAAAGCTCTGGGATTACAGGCATGAACCACCATGCCTGGCCTCCCTGAATAAACTTTCTATTCTGATCGTCTCTTATCTCCACTTTAAAGTCAATAACTCTTAGATTTTCCCTGTTGAGACTGTTTTCTAGATCTTGTAGGCATGCTTTATTAGAAATATTTTTTTCTCCTGTAACTGTATTTTCATATAGTCTGTCCTCATGCTCACTAAATCTTTCTTCTGCTTGGTCAGTTCTGCTGTTGAAACTGATGCATTTTTCAGTTTGTCAATTGAATTTTTCAGTTACACAATTTCTGTTTGATTTTTTAAATTACTTCAATATTTGCTTTTTTTTTTTCTGATAGGATTCTGGGTATATTCTCTGTGTTATCTTGAATTTTGTTAAGCTTCCTCAAAACAGCTATTTTGAATTCTCCGTCTGAAAGGTTGCATATCTCTGTTGCTCCAGGATTAGTCACTGTTGCCATATTTAGTTCATTTAGTGAGGTCATTTTTTTCCTGGATGTTTTTTATGTTTGTGGATGTTCATTGATGTCTGGGCATCGAGGAATTCAGTATTTATTCTAATCTTTGCAGTCTGGGCTTATTTGTACCCTTCCTTCTTGAGAATGCTTTCCAGGTATTCAAAAGGGAAATGAGTTGGGTTTTGATTGAAGTCTTTGGTCACTGCATTTTTATCTGCACTAGAGATCACCCCAAGCACAGCAATACTGTGACTCTTGGAGACTGTGAGAGGTACTGTCTTGGTGGACTTCAGTAATATCCAGGAGAATTTCCTACAATACCAGTCAGAGTCTCTTGTTCTCTTCCCTCACTTTCACCCAAACAAAAGGAGCCTCTCTCTCTGTGCTGGGCTGCATGGAGTTGAGGGAGGGATGACACAAGCACTCCCATAACCACCACAGCTAGGATTGCACTGGGTCACATCTGAAACCAGCACAGCACTAGATTTCACCCCAGGGCTATGGCTACTATTGCCTGGCTACCACTGACGTTTATTCAAGGCTTAGGAGCTCCTTATTTGGCAAGTAGTGAATCCTGCCAGTAGGCAGCAGGTTCCCAGAATGGGTCCAGAAATGCCATCCAGGAGTTAGGACCTGGGATCAGGGGCTTCAGGGCTCTGCTTAGTGCTTTATTTTACTGTGGCTGAGCTGGTACACAAGTTGCAAGATAAAATTTTTTTTTATATTTCCCTCTCCTTTCTGCAAGGGGAAAGAGTCACTCCCCGAGCTATACTGCTTAGAGTTGGGAAAGAGGTGATATAAACATTCCCATGTTTCCCCCAGATGGTGTCTCATTGGCTAGAATGCACCCCAGCTCCACTGTTCTGAGCCTAGCACACCACCAGTCCTTGTAGTACTTGAGCCCAGCTTCAATCTCTGTGGCTTAGACTGCCTTTCAAATTTATTCAGCACCCTAGAGCACTTTAGTCCACTGGTAGTGGGGTTAGTAAGAACTCAAGTTCCTACTGCTGGAGTAGAGGATTCCCCTCTGGCTGGGGCTGCTTGAAATGCTTCCTTCTTGTATGCCAGCCAAATTATGCCCTCTGTTGTGTTCTGCTGTGACAGGGAAGCACTGAGTTCCAATGCAGGGTCCTACAATCACTTTGCTCTCCCTCCCTCTTCCAAGGGTAGAAATTCTCTCTCTATGCTCACTGCTGGGGGATGGGGTGGGAGGGAGGTGTTGTCAGCAATTCAAGACTGTCCTTTCTACCCTCTTCTGTGCCTCTTTCCTTAATATTATATTAAAATCAGGTACTATTATTGCTCACTTGATTTTTGGCTCTTACGAAGATGCTTTCTTGTACGTATAGTAGTTCTATTTGGTGTTCCTGCATGGAGATGATCGCCGGAGGGTTCTTTCTGGCCATTTTGCTCTGCCTTCCTGTGATTACCTGTTTGATAAATAAGGTATTTTTCACATTTATGTTATAAAAATAACCTTCCACATTTTCCCCTAAGCATCTGTAGTTTTATTTTTTCAAATTAAAACTCTATAAATCTTTTGTTTTGTTATAGTGCGAGCTGAAAGGTCTAATTTTATGTATTCGAAATGCATAGCTGCTTGTCACCAAATTATTTACCAAGTAATTTATCCTTTGTACTCTGATTTGTAGTGCCACCTTTATCATGTAATAAATTTCTATTAAAACACAGTTTATGTTCCTAGATTCTTTAGTTTGTACTGTTATATATTGTTCAGTGTCAGAACCTTACTATTTTTATTAGACTAGTTCTAATATTAAACATTAAATATCCATGTAAACCTTGACAATAATAGCCTAGTAATAGGTTATTATCTGTCCTGGGATTTGACTTTACCCAACTTCACTAATAAGTTAACCTGTTACTGTTTCAGAGAATCCAACTGTAGACATGAGACTCCTGGGTCAAAGAAAAAGACCTTTATTACTCTCAGCACATCAGGTAGCCTGAGCATCAGCATATTTGCATCTGTTTCCCTTTGTCCCTGACTCCCATGGGGGTGATGCAATATGGGCTTAGAGTTATGCTGTACATACAGTGAGTTTGAGTCACAGGTGAAGAACACTCAGCTTGTAGAATCCACCTCTTTGATAGCAGCAGTAAGCGAGCTCGATTTTGTCCCAGAGAGAGATAGTATGTCAGCTCTTGAGGCTGCCTGTTGCAAACACATGCTTGAGAAATGGCCAGGATAAAAAGTGGCCAAGACCTTGCATTGTTGACATAAACAGCAAGATGTGTGGGAGAATATTATATTATGAACTGTTTCTTTAAACAATGCTAAATATATAGACCTAGTATAGAAAACAGGTGAAAATTGAAAGTGCACCCACTGAGGCAAATTTCAGCCAGTTAACTAAGGGCTGGAAGCTGCCCGTTTGGCAACCACTCTTACTCTTGGGCCTGCCTCTAATCCTACCCCAAGAGACTCTTCTGAAGAAGGACTACTTCTCAGGCCTTCTACATTAAAGATGAAGAAAATTAGGCTCAGGAAAATGAATGATATGCCTAAGGTTTGGGCTAGTAGTGATTGCTACAGTACTAAATAAAAATACCCTTTTCACTAAGTTTGTTTTCAGTAACTCCTTTTAAAAATTTCATCTTTAATGTAATGTCCTCTGAATTTATCCATGTTGTCACAAGTAACAGCATTTCAAAATCTTTTCTTTTTATAGCTGGAAAGTATTCCATTGTCTATACATACCACATTTTCTTTATTCATTCATCCATTGATAGATACAGGTTGATTCCATATATTGGATATTGTGAATAATGCTACCATAAACATGGACATGTAAATACCACATTACCTCCCTCATGTGTAATTTTAGAAAGTTGATATCACAGAAGTGGAGAGTAGGATGGTGGTTACCAGGCCTGACATGTTTGGCGTGGGAGTTGAGGAGATGTTAGTTAAGGATACAAAATTTCAGTTAGAAGGAATGAGCTCAAGTCTTTTATTCTATAACATGGTGATATAGTTAATAATGTGTTATATTCTTGAAAAATGCTAAAAGAGTGGATGTATAAAAGTGTTCTCACCACAAAAAATGATAACCATGTGAGGTCAAACATATGTTAGTTACCTAGATGTAGTCATTTCACAATTTATGCATACTTCAAAACATCATGTTGTGCATGGTGAATACATACAACTTGTGAATTTTTAAAAATTCAGTAAAAAAATTTAAAAAGAGAAAAGTTGTTTCCTTTACTGAAACTTACTGAACAAAAGAAACAGTAGGAAAACTTGTGAAATAAATAACTCAATCTTATATTCGAATAAGAACATCTCTAGCAGAAAACACATGTTCTATAATTTAATATATACTAACATTTTCTTGCTGCATTATGTGTGGGTTACGTAAGCCCACGTTATTAAAATGTTAGTATGATTTTTAAATAAATTGATTGCATTTCTCCTAGTCAGCCAGATTTGTGAACATGACTCTGAGATTACTCTTTGAATTATAGAAATCTGCCTAATCAGATGGCAAAACAATATTCCTAATCTAAATATGACAGTCTGCACTACTGATGATGGAATTTACATGGTAGTTTCATGCTACTTAATGTAGATCTATCTTACTATTGGAGAAAAAATGGTAATACTAGACATCCATTTAATTGAAATAATATGTTTTTCTTTAATGTTAATGTGGGAAAATGATATACATATATGTATATGTGTGCGTGTGTGTGTGTGTGCATGTGAGAGTATTATATATGTGTGCTTGTGTGTATTAATTATAAGATCTAAAACAAAAATTTCTCTGGGAAGAGTTTGGGACTGAAGACACCCCAAGGTTTAATTTGGGGGGATGATATGACAGTGTTGTGTATTAATCTATAGAACTGTGAATCACATCTGCCTTGTCAACTTTGAAAAGTAAGGAGTACTGGCAAGGGGAAATATAAGAAGCAGTAGTATTTGAAAATGGCTTATACATGGAATTAACCACAAGGATAAAAATAACCTCCAATCTCTATGTGTGGAATGCCTAAAGTTGGACTTAAATATATTTTGCTTCTCTGTTGTATTTTTTTGAATTATGAGAAAACATGTTTATGGAGTTAGGTATGAAAAGGCATCATTTTGAAATATCAATTTGGAAAGCTACAGAAAGAAGAGATGTTCGTTTAAAGCATTTCCATTTTTGCCTTTAAAATACTATAATAAGGTTTTAACAGCTTATAAAAGTCATAGGTCAGTGAAGATTGTGGCATTTATCTTTTAAATCCTAAAATTAGACTTATATTATTTAGATTACTTTTTAGCCATGGCAGAATAACTATTATACATTTTACCCAGTTTTAGTTTACCTTGCTATTTTGTAACATTGAAAGTGGAATGATTTTTTTCAACATATTGCCGTTACTCTCATTATCTCAAAGTACTTCACAAGCAATTTTCTTTTGTATCTGCTAAAAATAGAATTACTCTACCTGAACCATACTTTCAAGGGGAAGCCAATTAGAACACACGGTAACAATATACCTTTTCATTGAATAAACTGTCTGCAAGGATGCCCATTAATATTTTTTTTCTATTTACATAGCATTCATGAAACTCTGTGGACGTCTGACATCCATTAACATGTCCTAAATTTATTGTCTCATTCTTGTTTAATTCATCAACATACTGCAATAACATGAGTAACTATTAGAAGGATAACCATTCTCCACTTTAAAAAAATCACATTGATGCAGAAGTAACTATGCAGGTATTATCTAAGTACTATACAAAACCCTTAATAATAGACTTGAAAGACTGAAATAAATAGAAGTGAATAGTGTCAGCTGAGCCATATGAAACAAAAGATTGAATAGGTTTCATGACTTTTATAAAACAAATCATCCTTATAACCTTGCTCACTTATCAGGACACTAAGCTACTTAGAGTCAATTTTCTCATGGCATTGTATACCATTTAAAGACATACACAAACTAATGGGCCCAATGCAATCTGATAATACATATGGATGAATAATAAAAACTATTTTTACTTTTATAATCTAGGATAGTTTTTTCCCCAACATTTTACTTTAGTAAAATGTTGTCACGTAAGGTGCTACACTAAAAACATGTTTCTTGGTCAAAAAACTTTGCAAAAGTTTCTTTAAAATTCATCACCTGATAGATGTCTGATGATTTGTGCAGTCTCCCTATTTATCATGTTCTATTGAATCTTTAATCATTTCTAATGTAGGACTATACTCAGACCCAGGAGCAAAGTATATACTTTTAATTCTTCATCCTCTGCACGTTCACCAAATGCTCTTCACTACCCCCACATCTTTATCTTTCATTCATTTTTTGAGATTTATCCCAAATATCACTTTCTCTTGACCCCACATCATGTTCCCTAATACTCCAGTCAGCCCTCTTATATAGCATCGCAATTCCCTGTTTATTTGTACAATCTCTGCAGAATATGAATCCCCAGGGCACAGGGAATTATCTCCTCAGGACTATCAAAATGCCTGCACATGGTAGGTAATCAATACATGTTTATTCAGTGAAGGAAAAGCAGCATTTAGGTGAATGGCATGTAGAGTGAAATGCAGGCTTTCTCTTAATCGAGTTATAATTGTAGTTAAGACTACCATGGAGACTTAGTTATTTGGTCCTGTATTGGCTGTCAGGATTTTTTAAGCTCTCATAAGAAGTCTTAAGTACAAATATGTATCCCCTTATATATTTCTTTTAAGGTATAGAAGGATTAGAAAGAAAATGAGTTTTTTTATATATGAAACATTAAGAAATTTATATTTTTAAATTATTTGACTAAATATGATTTCAATGAGGTCTACTCTGACCACCTTATTTAATACTATGACCTGCTTTCCATAATGTAACGTTTTCTTACCCTGCTCCTTTTTTCTTTTGTTTGTAGCACTTAATATCTTTTAACATAATTGTTCATTCAGTAATTTATTGTGTTTTTACAAAATTACCCTTCTACCTCACTAGAATGCAAGTTCTATGAGTGCCAGGCATTATTCCAGGTGCTTAGCATACAGTAGATGCTGACAAAATCTTTGTAGCATGAGTGAATTAATCCTATATGTTATTACAGATATAGTAGCTGAATAAAGTAAACTGGAATATTGGTCAACTTCATATCTGGTTAGCTGTAAATATTTTAACCAGCTTCCTACCTTGCTTTTTCCTGTTATGCCCATTTCAAATGGTAAAGAGAAACAGCACCATATCACATATATTGAAAAATTTTCTCCAAATAAATTCTCATTATAAAATCAGGTCTATAAGGTAGAATACATCTACAGCTAAGGCTGGGGGATAAATGGATGAAACTAAGCTTCAAGGAAAAAAGAAAACAGGCGTGGTGATCCCTGCAGAGGGAACATAGCAAGAGTTGTCCAGATGGTGACTATGGTGCCAGATCATTAGGGCTTCAAAATCATTCAATAGCTTCATAGCCATCTTGCTAGAACAAATTGTTTAACCTCTTATGGCTTTCTTCATCTGTAAAATGATATGATGATAAGAGGACCTTCTGTGTGGGGCTGCTGTAACGATTAGGAAGTAAATACATGTACAACTTTCAGAACAGTACATGGCGCTTGCTAAAGCTCAATAAATGCTAGCTTTGATAGCTACTGCTGCCAGATTTAGGTGTGTGGTATCAAGATATACTTGTTACTAAAGAGTCAAGATAAAAATTATCATTTTTTGACTGAACTTTCACTTCTAAGAGTTAAGCTGCTTAATGAAATGAATTTTGATGTTAGAGGACAAATGGAGGTCTTTACTCCGGGCTTGAAAGATTATTTCAGATTATTTTCTATAGTTTGGTAAAAAGTAATGGTCCTTGG